>NT_187591.1:0-56134 GCF_000001405.40 Homo sapiens | reverse complement strand
AGGCCAGTGAAAGCAGTGAAAGGAGCAGGCTTATTGGAAACTCCTTCATTATAGAGGAGGGCGCCCTCAGAAAGCAAGCTGAGGAACACACCGTCTTTAAGTTTTTCTTATATGGGGTCTTGTCTTTGTAAAGACTAAGCTGTGGCTACGTGACGGTGAGCAGACTGTGCGACCAATTTTATTATTCTATTGATTTAAAGAAAACTACCCTTGACATTTTAGTGTGTGAGTACATCGAGGCATAACTTATTATCTTGAAAGCGTATGTTGTTATGGGCACCGGGACGTCTGGACTCGTCACTGTCAGAGGACTGTGTCCTTGTAGGTGTTTTTAGGTGGTTTCCTCAACTGCAAGCATCTGAGGACCATGGATTGTGACTGGCGAGGAACTGCCCTGTTAGTCTCCAGATGGAGCCGAACTGAAAACGGTGTCGCTTCTCTAACGGTGCGACGGATTACACTGGTTGATTTTCAGATGTGGAGCCGCTCTTACATCCCTTAAATACTCCCCTCCTCCCGTCACGGTGTCCCGCTATTGATGAGTTCTACTTGCTAATACTTTGTCTCTACATTCCTGAAGGTTATTGCCCTTTGTTTTATTTTTGTATTGTCTTTGTCTATTACCTAGTGTTGGGTCATACTAGCTAGCCCCCTGAAGTGATTTGGAAAGTGTTTCTTTACCTTGTCTTTCCTGGAAACATTGTTTTAAATTGGTGTTAATTTCTATTTAAACCTTTGGTAGGAGACTCCAGTGGAATAATCTCCCCTGTAAATTTCTTTTTCAGCAATTTTTAATTACAAATTCAATTTCTTTAATGGGTATGGAAATAATCAAATTATCTAGTTCATATTGGGTTGAATTGTGATAATTTGTGCTTTTGAAGAAACTGGCCCATTTCATGTAGTTGTAAAATTTGTGTAGAGAGTTGTTAATAAGCATCCTTTGATTACGCTTTTGATGTCTGCAGAGTCCGTAGAGATATTCCCTGTTTTATTCCTGATAGTGGCAAATTGTTTCTTCACTGTTTTTTTCAGTCTTTCTAGAATTTGTCAGATTCACTGATCTTTTCACAGAACCAATTTTTTCTCACAAATTAAATACATTCATATCAAGTTATGTCAAAACATTATGTTACAAACCACAAATGTATACAATTTTTATTTGTTAATTGTATCTCAATAGCGCTAGGGGGAAAGAACCAACTTTCTGTTTCATTGATTTTCTCTATTGTCTTTCTGTTTACAATTTCATCGGTGTTTTGCTTTCTACTTCTTCTTTCCTTTTGTCTTGGGCTTATTTTGATCTTTTTCTGCTTCATTTCAGTAAGAGATAAGAAGGCAGCTGAGGTACACGCTTTGCCTCGTGGGTGTGAACCAAGTAGCGGGCACAGAGAGCCGCCACTGAGGGACGTCGGATGAAGTGATGGGATTCGTCACCCGTCATCATTGCATCAGCTCTTTACGTAGCCATGTGTGGGCTATACCCAGCAGTGCACTCTGTATTCTGTGCAGTTAATTACATTTAACGTACCATGGTAAATTAAGTTTCAGCCACGTGGTTGGGGGAAAAGAGTTAATTAACTCAACCCTGCCAACTGACACTGGTGTACATCAGAATCATGCAAAACAAACAGTGCCTCTTTCTAACATTGTGCTGTAATGGTCGGAGATTCACATGCTGCTGTAGGACACAGTACAGAGACAGGCAGAGTGCAGAGAGAGACACAGCGCAGAGACAGACGCAGCGCAGAGACAGACGCAGCGCAGAGACAGACAGTACAGAGACAGACAGTGCAGAGACAGACACAGTGCAGAGACAGACAGTACAGAGACGGACACAGTGCAGAGACGGACACAGCACAGAGACGGACACAGCGCAGAGACAGGCACAGCGCAGAGACAGGCACAGCGCAGAGAAAGGCACAGTGCAGAGACAGGCACAGTGCACAGACAGACACAGTGCAGAGACAGACAGACACAGTACAGAGACAGACACAGTGCAGAGACAGACACAGTACAGAGACAGACACGGTACAGAGACAGACACGGTGCAGACACAGAGAGTACAGAGACAGACACGGTGCAGAGACAGACACAGTGCAGAGACAGGCACAGTGCAGAGACAGACAGTGCAGAGACAGACAGTACAGAGATAGACACAGTGCAGAGACAGACACAGTGCAGAGACAGGCAGAGCGCAGAGACAGACACAGTACAGAGACAGACAGTGCAGAGACAGACACAGTGCAGAGACAGGCAGAGCGCAGAGACAGGCACAGTACAGAGACAGGCACAGTGCAGAGACAGACACAGTGCAGAGACAGGCACAGTACAGAGACAGACACAGTACAGAGACAGACACAGTGCAGAGACAGACACAGTACAGAGACAGGCACAGTGCAGAGACAGGCACAGTACAGAGACAGGCACAGTGCAGAGACAGACACAGTGCAGAGACAGACACAGTACAGAGACAGGCAGAGCGCAGAGACAGATAGTACAGAGACAGACCAGTGCAGAGACAGACAGTACAGAGACAGACACAGTGCAGAGACAGACACAGTGCAGAGACAGGCACAGTACAGAGACAGGCACAGTGCAGAGACAGACACAGTGCAGAGACAGGCACAGTACAGAGACAGACACAGTGCAGAGACAGATAGTACAGAGACAGACACAGTGCAGAGACAGACAGTACAGAGACAGACAGTGCAGAGAGAGACACAGCGCAGAGACAGACGCAGCGCAGAGACAGACGCAGCGCAGAGACAGACAGTACAGAGACAGACAGTGCAGAGACAGACACAGTGCAGAGACAGACAGTACAGAGACGGACACAGTGCAGAGACGGACACAGCACAGAGATGGACACAGCGCAGAGACAGGCACAGCGCAGAGACAGGCACAGCGCAGAGAAAGGCACAGTGCAGAGACAGGCACAGTGCACAGACAGACACAGTGCAGAGACAGACAGACACAGTACAGAGACAGACACAGTGCAGAGACAGACACAGTACAGAGACAGACACGGTACAGAGACAGACACGGTGCAGACACAGAGAGTACAGAGACAGACACGGTGCAGAGACAGACACAGTGCAGAGACAGGCACAGTGCAGAGACAGACAGTGCAGAGACAGACAGTACAGAGATAGACACAGTGCAGAGACAGACACAGTGCAGAGACAGGCAGAGCGCAGAGACAGACACAGTACAGAGACAGACAGTGCAGAGACAGACACAGTGCAGAGACAGGCAGAGCGCAGAGACAGGCACAGTACAGAGACAGGCACAGTGCAGAGACAGACACAGTGCAGAGACAGGCACAGTACAGAGACAGACACAGTACAGAGACAGACACAGTGCAGAGACAGACACAGTACAGAGACAGGCACAGTGCAGAGACAGGCACAGTACAGAGACAGGCACAGTGCAGAGACAGACACAGTGCAGAGACAGACACAGTACAGAGACAGGCAGAGCGCAGAGACAGATAGTACAGAGACAGACACAGTGCAGAGACAGACAGTACAGAGACAGACACAGTGCAGAGACAGACACAGTGCAGAGACAGGCACAGTACAGAGACAGGCACAGTGCAGAGACAGACACAGTGCAGAGACAGGCACAGTACAGAGACAGACACAGTGCAGAGACAGATAGTACAGAGACAGACACAGTGCAGAGACAGACAGTACAGAGACAGACACAGTGCAGAGACAGACACAGTGCAGAGACAGACAGTACAGAGACAGACACAGTGCAGACACAGACAGTACAGAGACAGACACAGTGCAGAGACAGACACAGTGCAGAGACAGACACAGTGCAGAGACAGATAGTACAGAGACAGACACAGTGCAGAGACAGACACAGTGCAGAGACAGGCACAGTACAGAGACAGACCCAGTGCAGAGACAGGCACAGTGCAGAGACCGGGCCACCAGTACAGAGACAGGCACAGTGCAGAGACAGACACAGTGCAGAGACAGACACAGTACAGAGACAGGCAGAGCGCAGAGACAGATAGTACAGAGACAGACACAGTGCAGAGACAGACAGTACAGAGACAGACACAGTGCAGAGACAGACACAGTGCAGAGACAGGCACAGTACAGAGACAGGCACAGTGCAGAGACAGACACAGTGCAGAGACAGGCACAGTACAGAGACAGACACAGTGCAGAGACAGATAGTACAGAGACAGACACAGTGCAGAGACAGACAGTACAGAGACAGACACAGTGCAGAGACAGACACAGTGCAGAGACAGACAGTACAGAGACAGACACAGTGCAGACACAGACAGTACAGAGACAGACACAGTGCAGAGACAGACACAGTGCAGAGACAGACACAGTGCAGAGACAGATAGTACAGAGACAGACACAGTGCAGAGACAGACACAGTGCAGAGACAGGCACAGTACAGAGACAGACACAGTGCAGAGACAGGCACAGTACAGAGACAGACACAGTGCAGAGACAGACACAGTACAGAGACAGACACAGTGCAGAGACAGGCACAGTACAGAGACAGGCACAGTACAGAGACAGACACAGTACAGAGACAGGCAGAGCGCAGAGAGAGACAGACACAGTACAGAGACAGGCAGAACGCACAGACAGATAGTACAGAGACAGGCACAGTGCAGAGACAGACACAGTGCAGAGACAGGCAGAGCGCAGAGAGAGACAGACACAGTACAGAGACAGGCAGAGCGCAGAGACAGGCAGAGCGCAGAGACAGGCACAGTGCAGAGACAGACACAGTACAGAGACAGGCAGAGCGCAGAGAGAGACAGTGCAGAGACAGACACAGTGCAGAGACTCGCACAGTGTGACTTCTGACACAGTGCAAATGCGTGCCGATTCCCTTCTTTTTTGATTTTTATTTTTAGACTCAGTGCAGAGACAGACACAGGGCAGAGACAGGCAGAGCGCAGAGACAGGCACAGTGCAGAGACAGACACAGTGCAGAGACAGACACAGTACAGAGACAGGCAGAGCGCAGAGAGAGACACAGTGCAGAGACAGACAGACTTAGTACAGAGACAGACAGACACAGTGCAGAGACAGACACAGTGCAGAGACAGGCAGAGTGCAGAGACAGGCTGAGCACAGAGACAGACACAGTGCATAGACAGACTCAGTACAGAGACAGGCAGAGCGCAGAGACAGGCACAGTGCAGAGACAGACTCAGTGCAGAGACTGACTCAGTACAGAGACAGGCTGAGCGCAGAGATAGACAGTGCAGAGACAGACACAGTGCATAGACAGACTCAGTTTTGAGACTGACACAGTGCATAGACAGACACAGTACTGATACAGACACAGTACAGAGACTGGCAGAGCGCATAGACAGACACATTGTAGAGACAGACACAGTGCAGAGACAGATAGACACAGTGCAGAGACAGGCAGAGCGCAGAGACAGACACAGTGAGAAACAAACACAGTGCAGAGACAGACACAGTGCAGAGACAGGCAGAGCGCAGAGACAGGCACAGTGCAGAGACAGACACAGTGCAGAGACAGACACAGTACAGAGACAGGCAGAGCGCAGAGAGAGACACAGTGCAGAGACAGACAGACATAGTACAGAGACAGACAGACACAGTGCAGAGACAGACACAGTGCAGAGACAGGCAGAGTGCAGAGACAGGCAGAGCACAGAGACAGACACAGTGCAGAGACAGACACAGTACAGAGACAGGCAGAGCGCAGAGACAGGCACAGTGCAGAGACAGACACAGTGCAGAGACAGACACAGTACAGAGACAGGCAGAGCGCAGAGATAGACAGTGCAGAGACAGACACAGTGCAGAGACAGACACAGTAGAGAGACAGACACAGTGCAGAGACAGACACAGTACAGAGACAGACACAGTACAGAGACAGGCAGAGCGCAGAGACAGACACAGTGCAGAGACAGACACAGTGCAGAGACAGACAGACATAGTACAGAGACAGACAGACACAGTGCAGAGACAGACACAGTGCAGAGACAGGCAGAGCGCAGAGACAGACACAGTGCAGAGAGACAGACACAGTGCAGAGACAGACACAGTACAGAGACAGGCAGAGCGCAGAGACAGACACTGTAGAGACAGACACAGTTTAGAGACAGACACAGTGCAGAGACAGACACAGTGCAGAGACAGGCACAGTACAGAGACAGACACATTGCAGAGACAGAATACTGCTGAGACGCTTGACTGTTTAGACACATTGCAGAGACAGGCAGAGTGCAGAGACAGGAGAGACCAAACAGACACAGTGCAGAGACAGACACAGTACAGAGACAGGGAGAGCGCAGAGACAGGCACAGTGCAGAGACAGACACTGTGCAGAGACAGACACAGTACAGAGACAGGCAGAGCGCAGAGATAGACAGTGCAGAGACAGACACAGTGCAGAGACAGACACAGTAGAGAGACAGACACAGTGCAGAGACAGACACAGTACAGAGACAGACACAGTACAGAGACAGGCAGAGCGCAGAGACAGACACAGTGCAGAGACAGACACAGTGCAGAGACAGACAGACATAGTACAGAGACAGACAGACACAGTGCAGAGACAGACACAGTGCAGAGACAGGCAGAGCGCAGAGACAGACACAGTGCAGAGAGACAGACACAGTGCAGAGACAGACACAGTACAGAGACAGGCAGAGCGCAGAGACAGACACTGCAGAGACAGACACAGTAGAGAGACAGACACAGTGCAGAGACAGACACAGTGCAGAGACAGGCACAGTACAGAGACAGACACAGTGCAGAGACAGACACTGCAGAGACAGACACAGTAGAGAGACAGACACAGTGCAGAGACAGACACAGTACAGAGACAGGCAGAGTGCAGAGACAGACACTGTGCAGAGACAGACACAGTGCAGAGAGAGGCTCTTTTGGTATACAGATATATTGTTAATACTTACATTGCATAGACAGACACAGTATAGAGACAGACACAGTGCAGAGACAGGCAGAGCGCAGAGAAGTGATCCTAAGACAGACACAGTGCAGAGACGACACTTTACTAATTTAGGTAGAGCGCAGAGACAGACACTGCAGAGACAGACACAGTAGAGAGACAGACACAGTGCAGAGACAGACACAGTGCAGAGACAGGCACAGTACAGAGACAGACACAGTGCAGAGACAGACACTGCAGAGACAGACACAGTAGAGAGACAGACACAGTGCAGAGACAGACACAGTACAGAGACAGGCAGAGCGCAGAGACAGACACAGTGCAGAGACAGACACAGTGCAGAGACAGGCACAGTACAGAGACAGACACAGTGCAGAGACAGAGACTGCAGAGACAGACACAGTAGAGAGACAGACACAGTGCAGAGACAGAGACAGTGCAGAGACAGACACTGTGCAGAGACAGGCAGAGTGCAGAAACAGACACTGTGCAGAGACCGACTCAGTGCAGAGGCAGACACAGTTCAGAGAGAGACACAGTACACAGACAGGCAGAGTGCAGAGGGAGACACAGTGCAGAGATAGACACAGTACATAGACAGGCTGAGCACAGAGACAGACACTGTGCATAGACAGACACAGTGCAGAGACAGACACAGTAGAGAGACAGACACAGTGCAGAGACAGACACAGTACAGAGACAGACACAGTACAGAGACAGGCAGAGCGCAGAGACAGACACAGTGCAGAGACAGACACAGTGCAGAGACAGACAGACATAGTACAGAGACAGACAGACACAGTGCAGAGACAGACACAGTGCAGAGACAGGCAGAGCGCAGAGACAGACACAGTGCAGAGAGACAGACACAGTGCAGAGACAGACACAGTACAGAGACAGGCAGAGCGCAGAGACAGACACTGCAGAGACAGACACATTAGAGAGACAGACACAGTGCAGAGACAGACACAGTGCAGAGACAGGCACAGTTTTTTATACTGACACAGTGCAGAGACAGACACTGCAGAGACAGACACAGTAGAGAGACAGACACAGTGCAGAGACAGACACAGTACAGAGACAGGCAGAGCGCAGAGACAGACACAGTGCAGAGACAGACACAGTGCAGAGACAGGCACAGTACAGAGACAGACACAGTGCAGAGACAGAGACTGCAGAGACAGACACAGTAGAGAGACAGACACAGTGCAGAGACAGAGACAGTGCAGAGACAGACACAGTGCAGAGACAGGCAGAGTGCAGAGACAGACACAGTGCAGAGACCGACACAGTGCAGAGGCAGACACAGTACAGAGAGAGACACAGTACACAGACAGGCAGAGTGCAGAGGGAGACACAGTGCAGAGACAGACACAGTACAGAGACAGGCAGAGCACAGAGACAGACACAGTGCAGAGACAGACACTGCAGAGACAGACACAGTAGAGAGACAGACACAGTGCAGAGACAGACAGTACAGAGACAGACACAGTGCAGAGACAGGCAGAGCACAGAGACAGACACAGTACAGAGATAGACAGGCACAGTTCAGAGACAGGCACAGTACAGAGACAGACAGACACAGTACGGAGACAGGCACAGCACAGAGACAGACAGACACAGTACAGAGATAGACAGGCACAGTTCAGAGAAGCACAGTACAGAGACAGACAGACACAGTACAGAGACAGACACAGTACAGAGAGACAGACACAGTGCAGAGAAAGCCCACGCACACTGCCCAGTTTCCCCTCAGATAATACTTTGCCAAAGTGCTGTGCCGTCATAGCTGCTGACAGCATTCATTCATGTTTTTGTGTAAGTGTTTGTGTGTGTGTGAGGTTTTTTTTTTTTTTTTTCTGGGACAGATGCCTAAGAGGGCAGTTGGTGGACCATATGATTGTTGTATGTTTAGTTTTATAAGAAACTGGCAACCTGTTTTCCAGGGCGGCTGCAGCATTTCAGCCTCCTGTCAACAGCATGAGTGGTCCAGCCCCTCCATATTCTCAGCAGCATTTGGGATTGTCGCTGTGTGTTATTTTCGCCTTTCTGATGGGTGCAGGGTGGGGCCTCACGGTGGTTTTAATGTGCCTGTTCCCGATGGCTGGTGATGCTGAATACCTTTCCGTGGGCTGCTTTGACATCTGCTTGTTGTCTTCCGTGAGACGTCTGCTCGTGTCTGTTTTCTCACTGGAGTGTTTGTACTTCTAACAATTGAGATTTGAGAGATTGCAGTACACATTCTGGATGCCAGTCCTCTGGTAGCATATGTGGTTTGTAAAACTTCTATTCCAGTCTGTGGCTTATCTTTTCCTCCACTCCAAGTGGGTGTTTGCAGAGCAAAAGTCTTTCATTGATGAAGTCCCTTAATAACTTCTAATAACCTGTGATTTTACCTCCAGAATTTCCCTGGAATGCACCCACTTTCCCCATCTCCACAGACGCGCCTTCCAGGGCACTGCTCACATGCTGGTCGGTAGCATCCCCTCCATTCCCCCTGGGGGTGTTGGTGGAACTCTCGAGAAGCTCTCGCCAGAGACCTCCTCACCAGCCCAGCCCTCCCGTGCTGGCTCCTCACCTTCTGTGCCGTCCCCATGGGGGCGAGGTCTCCTACGGATCTGGAAAGGGACATGGACATGTGCTGTTGGTGGGCTGTAGAATGTGGGGGCTATTGAATCTTGTGCCTCATTTGGAATTTTCAGTGTATTATTGTCATCGTTTTATTTTGAGGGATGGCAGAACAGTGCCGTGTTACTTCAGAGGAGCTTGTTCTCCCCTTGCTTTTGAGTGATGTACAAGTTCTTACGTATTAGAAAAGAGTAATTCTATTATTGTTTTCTTTCTTTTAACAGTAGTGGCAGGCACAGTGTGCATTTTGGGTTACAAGCCATTGCTTGTTGGACTTCTCTGCCAGCCTCTTTACTCAATTCTCACCGTCCCGGAGCAGAGAACTTCATTAGAGAAGTAGTGAGACTTTTTCAGTTTCAAAAATTTAGGTCAGTGCCAGATCTTCAGCATCCTTTGTTTGAAGGCAACAGAAACAGGCTCAGCTGATTGGTGTCAGTTATTGGAAGCTCATGGAATTGAAGAAAAAAAGCGTGGAAAGTCAAATAACGTGGAGTCTTCCGTTTCAACTGAAGGAGGGCCAGGGACAAAGCAGGTGATCTTAGATGCCCCAGGGACCCAGAAGCCAGGCTCAAAGGCTCAGTCCCCACCCTCCTGAACACAGGCACTCTCAATCAGCTGGCTGAGTTCCTTGTTTGAAGACACTGGAAGATGGATTCACTGCAGAGGCCCCTGACAGTGACTGATTGTCCACTGAGAGGCAGTTGTATAAGATCAATGTCATTCACAAGAGAAGCAAGGAGAAACACACAGCTTTCTAGACACTGGACCGTTTAGTTGTTACAAGCATACGTACATTTTATAAAACAGTAATTATATTGTAGATATGGTTTTTATCCTCATAGTTATTTTTGTACAATTATGAAATGCAGGGTTATTGCTGAGAGATTCATCCATGCTACAGCCATTGCAAATTACATCTTATCACTAAGCAGGTGCCCCACCTCCATATTTTTTCTTATTAGTAAAAACATATTTGTGATTTAAATCTCTGTCATTTGACGTGGTGCAATGTGAGCCAGGCCCTTTCTGGCCGTCTTAGGTTAGCTCCTAGAGAGGTGTGGGGCAGCAGGGCTCACCCTTGTAGCCTCACACAGGGCACTGGGTCTTACTCACTGAATGGGCCATACTCACTGCACCGGGTCTTACTGCATCGGGTCACACTCACTGCACCGGGTCTTACTGCACCGGGTCACACTCACTGCACCTGGTCTGACTACACTGGGTCACACTCACTGCACCGGGTCTTACTACGCTGGGTCACACTCACTGCACCGGGTCTTACTGCACCGGGTCACACTCACTGCACCTGGTCTGACTACACCGGGTCACACTCACTGCACCGGGTCTTACTACGCCGGGTCACACTCACTGCACCGGGTCTGACTACACCGGGTCACACTCACTGCACCGGGTCTTACTACGCCGGGTCACACTCACTGCACCGGGTCTGACTACACCAGGTCACACTCACTGCACCTGGTCTTATACTGGGTCACACTCACTGCACCTGGTCTGACTACACTGGGTCACACTCACTGCACCGGGTCTTACTACACCGGGTCACACTCACTGCACCTGGTCTGACTACACTGGGTCACACTCACTGCACCGGGTCTTACTACACCGGGTCACACTCACTGCACTGGGTCTTACTACGCCGGGTCACACTCACTGCACCGGGTCTTACTGCACCGGGTCACACTCACTGCACCGGGTCTGACTACACCGGGTCACACTCACTGCACCGGGTCTGACTACACCAGGTCACACTCACTGCACCTGGTCTTATACTGGGTCACACTCACTGCACCTGGTCTGACTACACTGGGTCACACTCACTGCACCGGGTCTGACTACACCGGGTCACACTCACTGCACCTGGTCTGACTACACTGGGACACACTCACTGCACCAGGTCTTACTACACTGGGTCACACTCACTGCACCGGGTCTTACTACGCCGGGTCACACTCACTGCACCGGGTCTTACTGCACCGGGTCACACTCACTGCACCTGGTCTGACTACACCGGGTCACACTCACTGCACCGGGTCTTACTACGCCGGGTCACACTCACTGCACCGGGTCTGACTACACCGGGTCACACTCACTGCACCGGGTCTTACTACGCCGGGTCACACTCACTGCACCGGGTCTGACTACACCAGGTCACACTCACTGCACCTGGTCTTATACTGGGTCACACTCACTGCACCTGGTCTTACTACACCGGGTCACACTCACTGCACCGGGTCTTACTACGCCGGGTCACACTCACTGCACCGGGTCTTACTGCACCGGGTCACACTCACTGCACCTGGTCTGACTGCACCGGGTCACACTCACTGCACCGGGTCTTACTACGCCGGGTCACACTCACTGCACCGGGTCTTACTGCACCGGGTCACACTCACTGCACCTGGTCTGACTACACCGGGTCACACTCACTGCACCGGGTCTTACTACGCCGGGTCACACTCACTGCACCGGGTCTGACTACACCAGGTCACACTCACTGCACCTGGTCTTATACTGGGTCACACTCACTGCACCTGGTCTGACTACACCGGGTCACACTCACTGCACCGGGTCTTACTACACCGGGTCACACTCACTGCACCGGGTCTTACTGCACCGGGTCACACTCACTGCACCTGGTCTTATACTGGGTCACACTCACTGCACCTGGTCTGACTACACCGGGTCACACTCACTGCACCGGGTCTTACTACGCCGGGTCACACTCACTGCACCAGGTCTGACTACACCGGGTCACACTCACTGCACCGGGTCTTACTACACCGGGTCACACTCACTGCACCGGGTCTTACTACGCCGGGTCACACTCACTGCACCGGGTCTGACTACGCCGGGTCACACTCACTGCACCGGGTCTGACTACACCGGGTCACACTCACTGCACCGGGCCTTACTACGCCGGGTCACACTCACTGCACCAGGTCTGACTACACCAGGTCACACTCACTGCACCTGGTCTGACTACACTGGGTCACACTCACTGCACCGGGTCTTACTACACCGGGTCACACTCACTGCACCGGGTCTTACTGCACCGGGTCACACTCACTGCACCTGGTCTTATACTGGGTCACACTCACTGCACCTGGTCTGACTACACCGGGTCACACTCACTGCACCGGGTCTTACTACGCCGGGTCACACTCACTGCACCGGGTCTGACTACACCGGGTCACACTCACTGCACCGGGTCTTACTACGCCGGGTCACACTCACTGCACCGGGTCTGACTACACCGGGTCACACTCACTGCACCGGGTCTTACTACGCCGGGTCACACTCACTGCACCGGGTCTGACTACACCAGGTCACACTCACTGCACCTGGTCTTATACTGGGTCACACTCACTGCACCTGGTGTTACTACGCCGGGTCACACTCACTGCACCGGGTCTTACTGCACCGGGTCACACTCACTGCACCTGGTCTGACTACACCGGGTCACACTCACTGCACCGGGTGTTACTACGCCGGGTCACACTCACTGCACCGGGTCTGACTACACCGGGTCACACTCACTGCACCGGGTCTTATACTGGGTCACACTCACTGCACCTGGTCTGACTACACTGGGTCACACTCACTGCACCGGGTCTTACTACACCGGGTCACACTCACTGCACCGGGTCTTACTGCACCGGGTCACACTCACTGCACCTGGTCTTATACTGGGTCACACTCACTGCACCTGGTCTGACTACACCGGGTCACACTCACTGCACCGGGTCTTACTACACCGGGTCACACTCACTGCACCGGGTCTTACTACGCCGGGTCACACTCACTGCACCGGTTCTTACTGCACCGGGTCACACTCACTGCACCTGGTCTGACTACACCGGGTCACACTCACTGCACCGGGTCTTACTACGCCGGGTCACACTCACTGCACCGGGTCTGACTACACCGGGTCACACTCACTGCACCTGGTCTTATACTGGGTCACACTCACTGCACCTGGTCTGACTACACCGGGTCACACTCACTGCACTGGGTCTTACTACACCGGGTCACACTCACTGCACTGGGTCTTACTACACCAGGTCATAGTCAGTGTACCGGGTCTTACTACGCTGGGTCACACTCACTGCACTGGGTCTTACTACACCAGGTCATAGTCAGTGTACCGGGTCTTACTACGCCGGGTCACACTCACTGCACCGGGTCTTACTACAAAGGTTCATACTCACTGCACTGGGTGTTACTACACCAGGTCATACTTACTGCACTGGGTCTTACTACACTGGGTCAGACTCACTGCACCGGGTGTTACTACACTGGGTCATACTGCACTGGGTCTTACTACACCAGGTCATAGTCACTGCACCCGTTCTTACTACACCGGGTCGTACTCACTGCACTGGGTCTTACCGCATCTGGTCATACTCACTGCACCGGGTCTTACTGCACCGGGTCACACTCACTGCACCTGGTCTGACTACACCGGGTCACACTCACTGCACCGGGTCTTACTATGCCGGGTCACACTCACTGCACCGGGTCTGACTACACCGGGTCACACTCACTGCACCGAGTCTTACTACGCCGGGTCACACTCACTGCACCGGGTCTGACTACACCAGGTCACACTCACTGCACCTGGTCTTATACTGGGTCACACTCACTGCACCTGGTCTGACTACACTGGGTCACACTCACTGCACCGGGTCTTACTACACCGGGTCACACTCACTGCACCGGGTCTTACTATGCCGGGTCACACTCACTGCACCGGGTCTTACTGCACCGGGTCACACTCACTGCACCTGGTCTGACTACACCGGGTCACACTCACTGCACCGGGTCTTACTACGCCGGGTCACACTCACTGCACCGGGTCTGACTACACCGGGTCACACTCACTGCACCGGGTCTTACTACGCCGGGTCACACTCACTGCACCGGGTCTGACTACACCAGGTCACACTCACTGCACCTGGTCTTATACTGGGTCACACTCACTGCACCTGGTCTTACTACGCCGGGTCACACTCACTGCACCGGGTCTAACTACACCGGGTCACACTCACTGCACCTGGTCTGACTACACTGGGTCACACTCACTGCACCGGGTCTTACTACACCGGGTCACACTCACTGCACCGGGTCTTACTACGCCGGGTCACACTCACTGCACCGGGTCTTACTGCACCGGGTCACACTCACTGCACCTGGTCTGACTACACCGGGTCACACTCACTGCACCGGATCTTACTACGCCGGGTCACACTCACTGCACCGGGTCTGACTACACCAGGTCACACTCACTGCACCTGGTCTTATACTGGGTCACACTCACTGCACCTGGTCTGACTACACCGGGTCACACTCACTGCACCGGGTCTTACTACACCGGGTCACACTCACTGCACCGGGTCTTACTGCACCGGGTCACACTCACTGCACCTGGTCTTATACTGGGTCACACTCACTGCACCTGGTCTGACTACACCGGGTCACACTCACTGCACCGGGTCTTACTACGCCGGGTCACACTCACTGCACCGGGTCTGACTACACCGGGTCACACTCACTGCACCGGGTCTTACTATGCCGGGTCACACTCACTGCACCGGGTCTGACTACACCAGGTCACACTCACTGCACCTGGTCTTATACTGGGTCACACTCACTGCACCTGGTCTGACTACACTGGGTCACACTCACTGCACCGGGTCTTACTACGCCGGGTCACACTCACTGCACCGGGTCTGACTGCACCGGGTCACACTCACTGCACCTGGTCTGACTACACCGGGTCACACTCACTGCACCGGGTCTTACTACGCCGGGTCACACTCACTGCACCGGGTCTGACTACACCGGGTCACACTCACTGCACCGGGTCTTACTACGCCGGGTCACACTCACTGCACCGGGTCTGACTACACCAGGTCACACTCACTGCACCTGGTCTTATACTGGGTCACACTCACTGCACCTGGTCTGACTACACTGGGTCACACTCACTGCACCGGGTCTTACTACACCGGGTCACACTCACTGCACCGGGTCTGACTACACCGGGTCACACTCACTGCACCGGGTCTTACTACACCGGGTCACACTCACTGCACCGGGTCTTACTACACCGGGTCACACTCACTGCACCGGGTCTTACTGCACCGGGTCACACTCACTGCACCTGGTCTGACTACACCGGGTCACACTCACTGCACCGGGTCTTACTATGCCGGGTCACACTCACTGCACCGGGTCTGACTACACCGGGTCACACTCACTGCACCGAGTCTTACTACGCCGGGTCACACTCACTGCACCGGGTCTGACTACACCAGGTCACACTCACTGCACCTGGTCTTATACTGGGTCACACTCACTGCACCTGGTGTGACTACACTGGGTCACACTCACTGCACCGGGTCTGACTACACCGGGTCACACTCACTGCACCGGGTCTTACTATGCCGGGTCACACTCACTGCACCGGGTCTTACTGCACCGGGTCACACTCACTGCACCTGGTCTGACTACACCGGGTCACACTCACTGCACCGGGTCTTACTACGCCGGGTCACACTCACTGCACCGGGTCTTACTACGCCGGGTCACACTCACTGCACCTGGTCTGACTACACCGGGTCACACTCACTGCACCGGGTCTTACTACGCCGGGTCACACTCACTGCACCGGGTCTTACTGCACCGGGTCACACTCACTGCACCTGGTCTGACTACACCGGGTCACACTCACTGCACCGGGTCTTACTACGCCGGGTCACACTCACTGCACCGGGTCTGACTACACCGGGTCACACTCACTGCACCGGGCCTTACTACGCCGGGTCACACTCACTGCACCAGGTCTGACTACACCAGGTCACACTCACTGCACCTGGTCTTATACTGGGTCACACTCACTGCACCTGGTCTGACTACACTGGGTCACACTCACTGCACCGGGTCTTACTACACCGGGTCACACTCACTGCACCGGGTCTTACTGCACCGGGTCACACTCACTGCACCTGGTCTTATACTGGGTCACACTCACTGCACCTGGTCTGACTACACCGGGTCACACTCACTGCACCGGGTCTTACTACGCCGGGTCACACTCACTGCACCGGGTCTGACTACACCGGGTCACACTCACTGCACCGGGTCTTACTACGCCGGGTCACACTCACTGCACCGGGTCTGACTACACCAGGTCACACTCACTGCACCTGGTCTTATACTGGGTCACACTCACTGCACCTGGTGTTACTACGCCGGGTCACACTCACTGCACCGGGTCTTACTACACCGGGTCACACTCACTGCACCTGGTCTGACTACACTGGGTCACACTCACTGCACCGGGTCTTACTACACCGGGTCACACTCACTGCACCGGGTCTTACTACGCCGGGTCACACTCACTGCACCGGGTCTTACTGCACCGGGTCACACTCACTGCACCTGGTCTGACTACACCGGGTCACACTCACTGCACCGGGTCTTACTACGCCGGGTCACACTCACTGCACCGGGTCTGACTACACCGGGTCACACTCACTGCACCGGGTCTTACTATGCCGGGTCACACTCACTGCACCGGGTCTGACTACACCAGGTCACACTCACTGCACCTGGTCTTATACTGGGTCACACTGACTGCACCTGGTCTGACTACACTGGGTCACACTCACTGCACCGGGTCTTACTACACCGGGTCACACTCACTGCACCGGGTCTGACTACACTGGGTCACACTCACTGCACCGGGTCTTACTACGCCGGGTCACACTCACTGCACCGGGTCTTACTACGCCGGGTCACACTCACTGCACCGGGTCTTACTGCACCGGGTCACACTCACTGCACCGGGTCTTACTACGCCGGGTCACACTCACTGCACCGGGTCTGACTACGCCGGGTCACACTCACTGCACCGGGTCTGACTACACCGGGTCACACTCACTGCACCGGGTCTTACTACGCCGGGTCACACTCACTGCACCGGGTCTGACTACACCAGGTCACACTCACTGCACCTGGTCTTATACTGGGTCACACTCACTGCACCTGGTCTGACTACACTGGGTCACGCTCACTGCACCGGGTCTTACTACACCGGGTCACACTCACTGCACCTGGTCTGACTACACCGGGTCACACTCACTGCACCGGGTCTTACTACACCGGGTCACACTCACTGCACCGGGTCTTACTACGCCGGGTCACACTCACTGCACCGGGTCTTACTACAAAGGTTCATACTCACTGCACTGGGTGTTACTACACCAGGTCATACTTACTGCACTGGGTCTTACTACACTGGGTCAGACTCACTGCACCGGGTGTTACTACACTGGGTCATACTGCACTGGGTCTTACTACACCAGGTCATAGTCACTGCACCCGTTCTTACTACACCGGGTCGTACTCACTGCACTGGGTCTTACCGCATCTGGTCATACTCACTGCACCGGGTCTTACTGCACCGGGTCACACTCACTGCACCTGGTCTGACTACACCGGGTCACACTCACTGCACCGGGTCTTACTATGCCGGGTCACACTCACTGCACCGGGTCTGACTACACCGGGTCACACTCACTGCACCGAGTCTTACTACGCCGGGTCACACTCACTGCACCGGGTCTGACTACACCAGGTCACACTCACTGCACCTGGTCTTATACTGGGTCACACTCACTGCACCTGGTCTGACTACACTGGGTCACACTCACTGCACCGGGTCTTACTACACCGGGTCACACTCACTGCACCGGGTCTTACTATGCCGGGTCACACTCACTGCACCGGGTCTTACTGCACCGGGTCACACTCACTGCACCTGGTCTGACTACACCGGGTCACACTCACTGCACCGGGTCTTACTACGCCGGGTCACACTCACTGCACCGGGTCTGACTACACCGGGTCACACTCACTGCACCGGGTCTTACTACGCCGGGTCACACTCACTGCACCGGGTCTGACTACACCAGGTCACACTCACTGCACCTGGTCTTATACTGGGTCACACTCACTGCACCTGGTCTTACTACGCCGGGTCACACTCACTGCACCGGGTCTTACTACACCGGGTCACACTCACTGCACCTGGTCTGACTACACTGGGTCACACTCACTGCACCGGGTCTTACTACACCGGGTCACACTCACTGCACCGGGTCTTACTACGCCGGGTCACACTCACTGCACCGGGTCTTACTGCACCGGGTCACACTCACTGCACCTGGTCTGACTACACCGGGTCACACTCACTGCACCGGGTCTTACTACGCCGGGTCACACTCACTGCACCGGGTCTGACTACACCAGGTCACACTCACTGCACCTGGTCTTATACTGGGTCACACTCACTGCACCTGGTCTGACTACACCGGGTCACACTCACTGCACCGGGTCTTACTACACCGGGTCACACTCACTGCACCGGGTCTTACTGCACCGGGTCACACTCACTGCACCTGGTCTTATACTGGGTCACACTCACTGCACCTGGTCTGACTACACCGGGTCACACTCACTGCACCGGGTCTTACTACGCCGGGTCACACTCACTGCACCGGGTCTGACTACACCGGGTCACACTCACTGCACCGGGTCTTACTACGCCGGGTCACACTCACTGCACCGGGTCTGACTACACCAGGTCACACTCACTGCACCTGGTCTTATACTGGGTCACACTCACTGCACCTGGTCTGACTACACTGGGTCACACTCACTGCACCGGGTCTTACTACACCGGGTCACACTCACTGCACCGGGTCTGACTACACTGGGTCACACTCACTGCACCGGGTCTTACTACACCGGGTCACACTCACTGCACCGGGTCTTACTACGCCGGGTCACACTCACTGCACCGGGTCTGACTGCACCGGGTCACACTCACTGCACCTGGTCTGACTACACCGGGTCACACTCACTGCACCGGGTCTTACTACGCCGGGTCACACTCACTGCACCGGGTCTGACTACACCGGGTCACACTCACTGCACCGGGTCTTACTACGCCGGGTCACACTCACTGCACCGGGTCTGACTGCACCAGGTCACACTCACTGCACCTGGTCTTATACTGGGTCACACTCACTGCACCTGGTCTGACTACACTGGGTCACACTCACTGCACCGGGTCTTACTACACCGGGTCACACTCACTGCACCGGGTCTGACTACACCGGGTCACACTCACTGCACCGGGTCTTACTACACCGGGTCACACTCACTGCACCGGGTCTTACTACACCGGGTCACACTCACTGCACCGGGTCTTACTGCACCGGGTCACACTCACTGCACCTGGTCTGACTACACCGGGTCACACTCACTGCACCGGGTCTTACTATGCCGGGTCACACTCACTGCACCGGGTCTGACTACACCGGGTCACACTCACTGCACCGAGTCTTACTACGCCGGGTCACACTCACTGCACCGGGTCTGACTACACCAGGTCACACTCACTGCACCTGGTCTTATACTGGGTCACACTCACTGCACCTGGTCTGACTACACTGGGTCACACTCACTGCACCGGGTCTTACTACACCGGGTCACACTCACTGCACCGGGTCTTACTATGCCGGGTCACACTCACTGCACCGGGTCTTACTGCACCGGGTCACACTCACTGCACCTGGTCTGACTACACCGGGTCACACTCACTGCACCGGGTCTTACTACGCCGGGTCACACTCACTGCACCGGGTCTTACTACGCCGGGTCACACTCACTGCACCTGGTCTGACTACACCGGGTCACACTCACTGCACCGGGTCTTACTACGCCGGGTCACACTCACTGCACCGGGTCTTACTGCACCGGGTCACACTCACTGCACCTGGTCTGACTACACCGGGTCACACTCACTGCACCGGGTCTTACTACGCCGGGTCACACTCACTGCACCGGGTCTGACTACACCGGGTCACACTCACTGCACCGGGCCTTACTACGCCGGGTCACACTCACTGCACCAGGTCTGACTACACCAGGTCACACTCACTGCACCTGGTCTTATACTGGGTCACACTCACTGCACCTGGTCTGACTACACTGGGTCACACTCACTGCACCGGGTCTTACTACACCGGGTCACACTCACTGCACCGGGTCTTACTGCACCGGGTCACACTCACTGCACCTGGTCTTATACTGGGTCACACTCACTGCACCTGGTCTGACTACACCGGGTCACACTCACTGCACCGGGTCTTACTACGCCGGGTCACACTCACTGCACCGGGTCTGACTACACCGGGTCACACTCACTGCACCGGGTCTTACTACGCCGGGTCACACTCACTGCACCGGGTCTGACTACACCAGGTCACACTCACTGCACCTGGTCTTATACTGGGTCACACTCACTGCACCTGGTGTTACTACGCCGGGTCACACTCACTGCACCGGGTCTTACTACACCGGGTCACACTCACTGCACCGGGTCTGACTACACTGGGTCACACTCACTGCACCGGGTCTTACTACGCCGGGTCACACTCACTGCACCGGGTCTTACTACGCCGGGTCACACTCACTGCACCGGGTCTTACTGCGCCGGGTCACACTCACTGCACCGGGTCTTACTACGCCGGGTCACACTCACTGCACCGGGTCTGACTACGCCGGGTCACACTCACTGCACCGGGTCTGACTACGCCGGGTCACACTCACTGCACCGGGTCTTACTACGCCGGGTCACACTCACTGCACCGGGTCTGACTACACCAGGTCACACTCACTGCACCTGGTCTTATACTGGGTCACACTCACTGCACCTGGTCTGACTACACTGGGTCACGCTCACTGCACCGGGTCTTACTACACCGGGTCACACTCACTGCACCTGGTCTGACTACACCGGGTCACACTCACTGCACCGGGTCTTACTACACCGGGTCACACTCACTGCACCGGGTCTTACTACGCCGGGTCACACTCACTGCACCGGGTCTTACTGCACCGGGTCACACTCACTGCACCTGGTCTGACTACACCGGGTCACACTCACCGCACCGGGTCTTACTACGCCGGGTCACACTCACTGCACCGGGTCTTACTGCACCGGGTCACACTCACTGCACCTGGTCTGACTACACCGGGTCACACTCACTGCACCGGGTGTTACTACGCCGGGTCACACTCACTGCACCGGGTCTGACTACGCCGGGTCACACTCACTGCACCGGGTCTTACTACGCCGGGTCACACTCACTGCACCAGGTCTGACTACACCAGGTCACACTCACTGCACCTGGTCTTATACTGGGTCACACTCACTGCACCTGGTCTGACTACACTGGGTCACACTCACTGCACCGGGTCTTACTACACCGGGTCACACTCACTGCACCGGGTCTTACTGCACCGGGTCACACTCACTGCACCTGGTCTTATACTGGGTCACACTCACTGCACCTGGTCTGACTACACCGGGTCACACTCACTGCACCGGGTCTTACTACACCGGGTCACACTCACTGCACCGGGTCTTACTACGCCGGGTCACACTCACTGCACCGGGTCTTACTGCACCGGGTCACACTCACTGCACCTGGTCTGACTACACCGGGTCACACTCACTGCACCGGGTCTTACTACGCCGGGTCACACTCACTGCACCGGGTCTGACTACACCGGGTCACACTCACTGCACCGGGTCTGACTACACCGGGTCACACTCACTGCACCTGGTCTTATACTGGGTCACACTCACTGCACCTGGTCTGACTACACCGGGTCACACTCACTGCACTGGGTCTTACTACACCGGGTCACACTCACTGCACTGGGTCTTACTACACCAGGTCATAGTCAGTGTACCGGGTCTTACTACGCTGGGTCACACTCACTGCACTGGGTCTTACTACACCAGGTCATAGTCAGTGTACCGGGTCTTACTACGCCGGGTCACACTCACTGCACCGGGTCTTACTACAAAGGTTCATACTCACTGCACTGGGTGTTACTACACCAGGTCATACTTACTGCACTGGGTCTTACTACACTGGGTCAGACTCACTGCACCGGGTGTTACTACACTGGGTCATACTGCACTGGGTCTTACTACACCAGGTCATAGTCACTGCACCCGTTCTTACTACACCGGGTCGTACTCACTGCACTGGGTCTTACCGCATCTGGTCATACTCACTGCAGTGGGTCTTACTACACCAGGTCTTACTCAACTGCAGCAGTTCTGACTCACTGCACCGGGTCTAATTCACTGCACTGGCTCTCACTCACTGCAGCAGGTCTCACTCACTGCACTCGGTCTAATTCACTGCACCGGCTCTCACTCACTGCACTGGGTCTTACTGCATCGGGTCACACTCACTGCAGCGGGTCTTACTACACCAGGTCTTATTCAACTGCAGCAGGTCTTACTCACTGCACCGGCTCTCACTCACTGCAGCAGGTCTCACTCACTGCAGCAGGTCTCACTCACTGCACCGGGTCTAATTCACTGCACTGGCTCTCACTCACTGCAGTGGGTCTTACTCACTGCATCTTTTGGGGATTTGACCCCTTTCCTCTGTGCATTTTGCTCCGACTGTTGAGACACGGGGACGGTCACCAGGCCTGTGTGGAGGGGTTAAAATGACCCAGCAGCGTGGAGTCCTTGGTCTTCCCCTGTCCTCTTAGATCAGCGTCTTCACAGCAACAGGGGGGCCTGTGTGCGCTGAGCCCAGGGCAGGTGGCAGGTGGCACGGGGAAGCCGTGTGTTAGAATTCCTCTTTGCCTCCCAGCCCTGGTTCTTTTATAACCCACGCTGTCTTTTTATTGCTGTTGTTTACTCTCTTCCCCTGCATCTCAGAGATGGCGTTCCTGCCCTGCCATCTGTCTGACCATTCATTTATCCCCTGGTGTCTGTGGGCACTGAGCCTCTCTGCTTGGATTATGTCTGTGAACACCGCAGTCACTGTGCCCTGCCTGCGTAGGCTGAAACCCTCTGGGTGTTGGGGTCAGTGTGGACAATGCCTGCTCCAGGTTGGGGACAGCATGGGAGGTGTGAGCACGGGGCTCTGCCCAAAGCCCAGAGCCTGGAGAAGCGGGACTGAGTCTGTGGCCACTTGAGGCTGCTGCTGCCCCAGGTGTGACCCAGGGAGGTGCTCCTCTGCCCCAGGTCTGTCCTGTCCCTCTGAAAAGTGGGGTGGCCCACTTGTCCAAGTGTTCAGATCACTCATTGGCTGCTGATGCTGTGAGTCTGTGCAGGAACCACTGTCTGTCCCAGCTGGACAGTGCTCCCCCCACCCTGTGGCCTTTGGTGACCCACTACATGACTGAAGTCCCCAACTCTAAATGGGAAGAGCCTTGGTGTGCTCAGGTCCCTCAGGTCTGCGTGCGAGCAGGGCCAGCCTGCGCTGGGCCTTCTGAGCAGTGCCCGGATCCACCCACCCCACCTTGTTTGCCGTCAACTCCAGATACTGTAGGCTTCACTTCATTTTTTTTTTACATTATTCAATTTGGAATATGATTTGGGCAGTTACATTTAAACAGACAGTTTCCATTGAAAATCCTCTGTGTAAACAAGTCAGGCAGTGTTGGTAACAGCTGTGGGTTTCAGATTTCCTGGAGTTCTCTTAATATTTTTCAGCTAATAGGTGACTGTTCGGAGAAGGAATGGACATTCTCTTTTTGAGGACAATGGATTGAGGCTCAGATTTACAAGAACTCAAACTTGTTTTGAGACAGGATCCTTCTAAGCTCTTATATTCCTCTCACTTTTCGGATGAAATGGTTTATGTTGAGATCTCCTCCTGGTGCTTCAGAAATCACGTCTTTTATAACCCTGCAGGGCAAATTCTGACCTGAAAACCTCCAGCTCCTGGGCTCTGCACAGGACACTCCTTTATCAGAGCAGAAAAGACAAACGACCTGGAGAGAAGGGGCTCACAGTAGCAGAGCTGAGCGGGGGTTGCTGGTGCACCGCACGTTGGAAAAAGCTCTGGCCAGGAACACTGGGCTCTGTGAGCTACCCCCCCGAGACAGGGGCTTGCTTTCCGCCTCTGACAGCACCAGCCTCCTTTATGGCTGCTTATTCAGGATCCAGATGGGCTCTGATGTCTGAGGGGTGGAGCAGGGCTTCAGCTGTGAGACCCCCTGCACCGAGTCCCGCCCTGTTCAGGGCCCTGTCCTGAGGCTGGTGTGGGTGGGGACCTGCCAGCTTCCTGCCATTTCACCCTGACCTTTTGGCCATGTTGCCATTGCTTCTCTCGTCTTCTCATCTGTTCCTGAACTTGGTCCCCAGGGCGAGCTCTTCTTCTGTAACTGGCACAGCTTCCAACTGGGGCAAGAACTCTGTTCTCCCTGAGGGCTGTTGCTTCACATTCACGGAGGAATTACATGCAGCTTCCAGGGCTCTGCTGGAGGTCTGCAGCCAGGCACCTGCCTCCGCCAAGGCTGGCACGGGCTTCTCTTCCTTGGGATCCTGGGGAGGGTGTTGACGTCCAGTCCATTTCCTCCCTGCTTTCTCCTCTTTCTATGTGCATCAGTCAGGACAATATTGACCGCAAGTGACAGCAAATCTGACCCAAACTTCATGATACACAAAGGCGATTTCACGGGTTCTCTAACCCAGCAGGCATGGGTTGGTCAGGGCTGACGTGGCGCATCTGGAAGCCCCCTCTCAGCTCTGATCCACCGCACTGTGCCACTGTCAGAACAAGGTGGCCCCCGCCGCCCCTGGCCACCCCTTCCTCATCCCGAACGGGAGGTTCAAGATTCTGTCGTGCTTCCCCAGCCTGAGCCTCGCTGCATCTCACCTACCCTGACGGTGCCACTGCCAGAACACAGGGGCCAGAGAGGAGTGGCCCGGCTGGCTCAGACCCGGTGATGGGGAATCTGCTCAGTGGGGAGCCGGGGGGAGTGGGAGAGGAATCGCCGGGTGCAGAGATGCTGAGCAGCCAGACAGGGGCCTTCCACCATGTAGCCCCCTTCCCTGCTTTATGGGCGTGACTGATGAGATGCTTGTGGTCTCCCAAGCTCTTTCAGGGCAACAGGCAGCTCTGAAGGTGGGGCCTCTAGGAGGGAGCCCGGAGAATCCTAACAGATGCCTCGTACCAACTACCTTTCCCAGTAAACATTTACATCTGGCCATGTTTCCTTCAGACACAATTTTAACAGCATTCTTGAGGTATGGTTGATAGACACAAACCTGCATGTTTTTAACATCTGCAGTTTGATGTGTTTAGACATTTGCATACACTGATGAAGCCATCAGCATGGCCAGCGTGATAGCGTCAGAGATGTGTTCTGATGAGATGCGGTATTCGGGCAGAGTTGAAGCCTTCTCTGCTTCTGCCTCAGTTTTTCCAACCAGATGTAACTCCTACCTTGAATTTGGTGTCTGTCTTTCCTTTGCAAGTGCTTACGCTTCTGCGGTATATGAGTGTCTATATAAACCATGTAGAAAGTTGCTTTTTTGGTTTTAACTCTCAATAACAACAGCTAAAATGAATAAAGTACAGCTTCATACACTCACATGGGTAAGTCTCAAAAACAAATTTCCCCCAAAGGGGTAGCATTTAATTATATGTATTTTCTACGTTAATTGAGTAGTTTTCTTCCTGGTAGGTATTTGGCTAGTTTCAAATATTTCATTTTTATTTTTGCTGCTATAAACAAAGCTGCCATAATCCCACCGGTGTGTCTCTGTGTACACATGTGAGTTTCCCAGGTGCCCGCCTGGGCGCGTGGCTGGGGACAGGACCACGCATCAGGATGGCCGGTGTCTGCCGTGTCACTCTCCAGAGTGGCCACACCCACACCAGCAGCACGAGGAGTCAGGGTGGCTCTGCATCACAGCACCGCATCAGATTTTAAATTTCGGTGTGACATAGCATCCTGTGAAGGTTTACTTAGCATTTTCGTGGCTATAGGTGGCGTTGAGGGTCTTCTGTGTTCACAGCTCGCCCCAGGCTGGCGCTGCTCCTGCAGCCCTGGGGGGCCAACTCCCAAAGCTGCCCATAGGTCTCATGACCCTCGGGGGCCACCTCCCCAAAGGAGCCCACAGCCTGTCTGGACCAGAGTCCCCGCCAGGAGGCTTCCCTCTGGCTCTCCATTCCGGGTCCTGGAAATGTTTGTCTGATCTTGGGGCCCAGAGGGTCTTATTGGTTTGGGGGTTGCATTGAAAACGTCCCCCTTAAAGAGAAAGGGGAAACGGAGGGGAAGGAGTTCGTGTGCTCAGTGGGTGTAAGAAAAGCATCTTCCTGAGATTCAGGACCTGGGGAGTCTGGGCTCAACTCTTCCATTTATGAACTCGCATGGAACCTGGAAGGGGCAGTTCTGGACCAAAGGAAGCCAGGGATGGGACGTGCCGACTGTCACCTCCCCAGGCAGCCCTGGCCATGAGTGGGTAGCTCCTAGAATCCCGCTCCCCACCCCGGGTGGAACTGGCTGTCTTCCATGGGGAATGAGCTCTGGGAAGTGTGAGAGCCCCACACGTGTATCTTACCCTGGACAGCCCTAGAGCCAGGCTGTGATGTGGATCAACATTTCACAGCAGCTGAAACCTATCAGCCTTCTGATAGGAATGGAGACAGTACAGAAGTAAGACTATGATGCACCCTGGGAGGTGCTGATATCGCCCCCGCAGGGGCTGTGCCTCTAGTTGTAAGTGTGATTACCTGCTAATCCTCCCTCCAAGGAGACGTATTAGGGAGGCCTGTTGTGGACTTTGTGTTATTAAAGCAGTATTTTTTCCCATTTGAAGGCCATTTGAGAGAAAGACAGAAGATTGGGAGAAAGAAAAAGAGAGAGGCAGATTCATAATTTACCTATATTGATCCTAAACTCCTTTGGTCATGGGTTAGAGCCTATAAAGCAGTTTAATAAACTAGAAGGAAGGTTTTTTTTTTTTTTTTCTGGCTGTAGAAAGCTGCGTCTCCTGAGAAGTGGCCTTGGGAATGGGTACCTAGGAATGTTGGTGCTGGGGCCACTGCCCATCCCTTCACTGCTGTAAGAACGTCCTCATCGAGGCTGGTGCCCAGAACCAGCCCCCAGGAGTCCTGGTGTGGGGAGGAGTCCGCATAGGAAGGCTGGGAGGGTCTTTCCGGAGCCGCCTCGCTCAGCTGCTTTCTTTGCACATGGAGTGTGAATAGCACGTGAGAGTGCAGTGTGCAGAAGACTCTGGAGGAATTCAGACTGAATGATTATTATTTTTTATTTATTTATTTTTTGAGATGGAGTCTCACTGTCTTGCCAGGCTGGAGTGCAGTGGCGCGATCTCGCCTCACTACAACCTCCGCCCATCGGGATCCAGCAATTCTCCTGCCTCAGCCTCCCAAGTAGCTGGGACTACAGGCGCCCACCACCATGCCCAGCTAATTTTTGTATTTTTAGTAGAGACAGGGTTTCACCGCGTTGGCCAGGCTGGTCTCGATCTCCTGACCTTGTGATCTACCCACCTTGGCCTCCCAAAGTGTTGGGATTACAGGCATGAGCCACCGTACCCAGCCTAAATGATTTGTAACCCACCTGTTCTAGGGGCAAGAGGCCCTGGGAGAGAAGAGTCTAGAGAAGGCCTGAGGGTGGCGGCCAACGAAGCTTCTGAATGGTGGAGGCGAGACTCTGACCCAGGGCCGTGGGGGCCCTGGATGACACTGGCTGGAGTGACTGCCTCCTGGGCTCCCACCCAGGCTGCACTTGGGATACTTGTTTCCTAATAAAATCAAAGCATGTGCCTCAGGAAGCAAGCGGGGCATGGATGCAGCTGTGGCTCCAGGAGGAGAGGGGCCCAGCCTGACTGTCCTGGGTGGGGAACTGGTCACAGCTCAACCCTATGTGGGCTCCTGTGTGTGGACAGTCACTGCACGGCGAGGGTCAAGACGCCAGGGAGGGAGAATAACACTGGTAGAAGCTGGATTGCCCATGCTGTCCAACTGACGTATGGGATGAAATGAGGAGAGATGATCTTTGGGTAGCAGGGTGTGAGTAACTCTGAGTTGAGGAGCTCACCGTAGAGCTGGCCATGCTCGACCCACGACAGCCAGAGTCTGCAGACCTGCACTGCATCTGTTTCTCAGCCACTAACCTGTGTGAAGACTTCGTTTTGAGGCTTGTAGAAGTGGATGGCATGCATCTGAGCAGTCTAGCGGATTGAGGAATACTTTTGGATCACAGAAATCTTGGAAGGGGACTGATCTCCAAGATGGACAGGGTGGAGGGGACGGCTCAGGTGGCCACTAAGTCCAGATAGACGCGGTGCCAAGATCGAATATTAGAACAAGAGTGCGTCCGTCTCTCCCACCCCCTCCACCAGCTCCGAGCTCAGACCCCCACCCCTGCCTGGAGAACAGCAGATGTCTCCTTGTTGGCCCCTCTTCCACCTCACCCACCTGTCCCTCAGGAGGTAGACACACCAAGGAAGGGGAAGGTGGGCTGGCCTCTGGAATCCTTACACCTGTCTGCTGTGGGCGGAAGGGATATGAACCATGCCCCCCGGACAGCTGAGTGCAGTGTGCTCATCAGTGAGGTCGACCCGGGACACGCTGCTCGTCAATCAGAGCTCATGGGGTCGGCAGTTCCCACAAGCACTAGGGCAGAAATGCTGGAGTTTGGTTCTTATTCCATGGCCAACCTCATCACTCCCTGGCAAGGATCTTGAGGTTCCTCCCATCTAGGTCTATTCCCCTCTTCCTGCTAATTGCTTTTATAAAAAGCCACTGCTGCTTTCTTTGGAGGACAACTTTGGGATGTGGGATATAAAATCACTAATGATCTTGCTGCCCGCTCATTCCCTGGATGCTCAGGGCCCATCTCAACCATTCTTCTGCTTGACCCTTGGGCTGAGCTCATGGGATGTGTCTTCTGGGATCTTGGAGGCTCAGTCCGCCAATCCATGTTACCTGGATAGAGTGGGCAGAGTCTTGAAGTCCCCTCCTCCTAGGATGCCTTTTATGGAACATTTCCATCCTCTAACGGAACGTTTGCTATTGGGACCTGGACACCCCCGTGAGGCTCAACCTCATGAAAGAGCTCAGAGCTGTCCATGTCGTGATATTCTTCCTCCTCCAGCCCCAACTATTGCAGGCCTCAGACCAAATCTTGCAGGTCAGAGGTGTAATTATAAATAGACTTGAAATGTCTGGACCCATGGTGAGGAGCCCCGCCCTCTCAGTGTGGTGCCCACGGTCCCCAAAAGACCCTGGGGCTGCTTCCTCCAGTGACCTGGGGTGGAATTATGTCCTGAGGAGAGGGAGGGAGGAGGGCCCGTGCCACATCCAGCCTGGCCTCTTGAGAACTTTAGACACGAGTCCTCTTGGAATCAGTAGCAATCTGTTACCTGCTGCCCCTTCGCTTACTTACTTGGTGGTCAGCTCTGTGTGCAGAAACGGAATCCAGCTCAACAGAATAATACAGTCCTAGTGTAATGGCAGAGGTGGGAGACAGCCAGCTGCATTTCCTCCAGCTGCAATGCTGAACCTGGGCGGGAGAGTGCTTGGAGGAGGAAGGGACACAGCCCTGGGCAGGTAAGGGCAGGAAGTTGAGTTAATATGTTGAGGTGGCATCATTCACTCCACAGTCAGATGAGATAATATTATGTTAACACAACCCTACAAAGTGGGTCCTGTTGTTTCCACACGAGTAAATCAAGTTCAGAGACGTTGAGCTTCATGTCCAAGGTCACAGAGCTAATGCATTGCTGAGCTGGAACCTGCCTCCTAGGTCTGTCTGACCTGTCCTTTTCATAATTCCACAGGGGCCGCCTTCCTATGAGAAGAATATCTCTAGGAGGGTGGATGTTTGTCCCTTTTGTTTCTGGTGCATCACCAGGGTTTGGAATGCTGCTGGGACATAGCAGTGGCTCAGTAACTGAAGAATGGACAGATGGATGGATGGATGGGTGGGTGGATGGTGAGTGGGTGGGTGGATGGATGGATGCATGGGTAGATGGATGGATGAATGAATGGTTGGATGGGTGGATGGATGGATGGATGGGTGAATGGATGGGTAGATGGTGGATGAATGGATGGATGAATTGATAGATGAATGGATGGATGGATAGGGGATGGATAGATGGATGTTTGGATGAGTGGGTGGGTGGATGTATGGGTGGATGGATGAATGGATGGATGGATGGATGAATGGATGGGTGGATGGATAGATGGACAGATGGATGGGTGGGTGGATGCATGAGTGGATGAATAAATGGATGTATGGGTGTATGGATGAATGGATGGGTGGATGGATGGATGGATGGATGGACAGGTGGATGAATAGGTGGGTGGATGGACAAACGGGTGAATGGATGATGGATGGATGACCGGTAGATGGAGAAATGGATAGAAGGTAGTTATGGAGCTTGTACATGGGCTTTCAGTTCTATTTTTTCCCCCTGATTTGTGCTTTCTGAGTTGGACTTCCTGAGCCTTTGCCAGTTCTGAGTCTTTTCCAGTTCTTTATGTATATGTATCTGTTTGTGCACATCTAAAAGGGGTGAAGATTCAGATGTCTCCAGGGGCCAGGCAGGAAACAGAAATTAAGGGAAAGAGGGGCAGGTGAGCACAATAGGGAGGGTGGCAAGGACATGTGGATGACCTGCTAAAGACATTGAATCCCAAATTAAAATAAAATAACAATAAAATAAAAAATAAACTGAATGTCACTTGACTGCATGGAGTGCTCAGTGTACCCCCTTTAGGCTGCCAGTGTCTTTTATTTGCAAACTGTACTCTTGTTAGAGATGGTTTCCTGGGGACTCAGCTGGACCCTGGTTACAGGCATCAAATGCTACCTGTGCCCTGAGTGCATCTGCGGTCACACCTAGTGCATAGGCTGCCTGGTGATGACTTCATCTGTGGATGCAGGAAAAGGAAGCATGGCCTTCTGTTTGAGAATGGAGGAGATTTGCTGCACGGCCCATGGTGCATCAGTATGTATTTTATGAAATATCGTAGTGTAATGGACCTCACACTTAAAAAAATCCATCTTCTAGTGGGGAGAGACAATAAAAACACGAGGTCCCTATAGTTTTCCATAGAATAACAATTGGTGCTACTTGAATGAATCAAGCAAATCCTAATGTTTCTTGCATTCGTCTCTTGCATTAGAAACAAAAGGAGAGAGGATTTTCTTGGAGAACCAGTTAGTCCTCAAGTGTTCAGCTGGCCCTTGTAAGCACCGTGGCCTGAGCTTTCCTCCTTCTCATCTCCAGCTGGTGTGCCGGTGGACAGGCCTGCTGGGCAGGACAGAAGGTCTGGATTGGAAGTCATCTCTGTTCCCCCAGCCTCGTCCACCCACTCCTCCACTCTCAGAAGCTCTTTCTCGACAGATTTGCCTCCGGTTCCGGAGTACTAGGTGCTGTCCTGCGATCTGCTTTATGGTTAGAAAGTGATGTCGGGGTTTTGATTTTTTTTCTGCACCAGGTGGGTGGCTCAGTAGAGGGGAGAAAGCAGCGTGACAGCGTGGCTTGGGACGTGATTGATCAGAGAGAAAGCACACCTGCTGGTGTTGCTCGTGCCTGATTTGATTTCTGAACCAGAGTGAACCTTGTCTGAAAAACAGTCACGGAGAAGGCTCAGGTCCTGCAGTAACAGACTTTTCCTTTGTCATCCACAGTTGAGCCCTCACGGGGGCCACAGGGGCAGCTTTGGGAAGGGCCGTTCAGATGTGCTCCATGTGGACTCCCGGCTCCGTGTGCTGCAGCCGCTGATTGAGGCTGGTGTGCGGTGCCAGAGCCCAGCTCCCTCTGGAGCCAGAACTGGAGTCACCCCTGTCCCGTGGGAGGAGGCATCAGAGACAGACCCTTGCCTGTCACTGTCTGTGTTTCCTGATGTGGATCTGTCCTGGGTTGGGCAGCTTCCCTTGTACGGATCTCAGGTGAGAGGCACCCAGGCTCTGGGTCCCTTTTGAGACCAGGCTGGAGTCTGTGATGGGAGAGAGGGGGTCAGAGTGCAGGGAAGGCCCCTGCCAGAGGCCAGGTGTGTTTAAAGATGTGATTCCTCGGCTGTTAGTGTGTGTGAGAGAGCGAGTGTGTGTTTGTTTTTATCAGTAAATAAGGGCAAGGAACTGAGGGTTTGTGGGGACATCCACTTACAGCCGTATTTGGAAACAAGCCCTCATGTTTCCAAATACAGCTGTAAGTGGATGTCCCCACAAACCCTCAGTTCCTGCTCCAGGTGATTTGATAACACAGGTGGAAACCTTCCCTTGCTGGGACACTCACCCACCTCACCTGAGAAGTTCCAGGGACAACCAGTAAGAAAGTCACAAAAACCATGGTAAAATAAACAGAATGAAAGTGGTACACTAAAAAAAATACCCATTTAATACAAAAGAAGGCAGTAATGGAGAAAGAGAGGAACGAGAAAGATAATTGCTTCTAAATAAAATGTTTAAGAAAGAAGGCAGACACAAAGAGTGAATAGAACATATATCATGGTGTCCATTTGTGTAAGAAAGTAGTGTATCTTTCAACAAACATTTACTGACCATCTACATTTTGTTTATTCTTTATCCACGAATCTTGCTCAATAGTGATTGAAGGTCTGCTATCTACCAGACACCCTCCTGGGGGTGGGGCTACAGGTCCCATTTCCATGGCAGCCCTCAGCCCACAGGGAGAGCAGGGGGAATGCGTGTAACAAACCACCGTCCCACCCACGACGCCGCGGCCCCTGCAGTCGGGAGTCGTCTGATGCTGCTAGGACAGGCGCTGATGGGCCTGCCATTCAGGATCCCTCTCCCCATGCAAAGAGCAGCGGCTCGGCAGCTTGACCCTTTAATTAGAGAACCAGGAACAGCAGTCAGCTGGGGGCCAGGTCAGCGTGCACAGAAAACAGCCAGCAGGGATGCCTGGGGCCCAGCCTCCCCACCTCCCTCGCAGAGGCTCATGGACCTCCCTGGGTGTCATGACCTTTGTGTGCCTGGCTGCCCCTTTGCTGTTCCCAAGGTTCTTCCCCTCTGAGCCCCTTGTGGCTGAGGAGCAAGCTCATTTTCCCCGGCTGTTTGTGTCATGTCTAAAGATCAATAACTCCATTTGCCAACTCTCCCATATGACAAAGCTCTCCGGACTATATCCACGGCTCGGCCACCTCAGTACACCCAGTGCCGAGCTTCTGCACCTCTAGCTGCATGAGGATGACACACAGCACCAGGACCCGGCGCTGCTTTCAGTCTCCCATGGAGATGGAGCCCCGGACAGGCGCTGGGGCCAGTGGCTTGAGTGGCTGCACACCTCAGCCTGCTCTGTTCTGGAAACTCGTGTTGCTGGGTTTGATGATGCACGCTTGTGTCTCTTGGGTGGGGCTTGAACGGTCAACTCTGGGCATTTGGGTTTTTTCTCTGCCTCTGGCCCAACATTAGACAGACCATAATCTCAGATATTCTACCAGAAATGAAAGAAAGTTCATCTTACCCACCAGACAGAGGGGCGGGGAGGGAAGGCTTACAGTAGGATGGCCTTGGCCACTCTAGGTATTGGTGTTGTGACTTTTCCAGTGTGAAAAAGGACCATGTGGCTGAGGCTGTTGGGTAAATATTTAGGTCAAGAGTTGTTATCTGATTGCTATTGACAGACATTTCTGTAGCACGCGTGTCTCTGGAGGCTGCCTCTTGTTGACATTGCTTAGAGAAAGCCAGCTGCTAGCCGTCTAATAACTTTACTCTTAAAACCTGCCTCTGGCTGGAAGCCGCAGGGGAATCTGCTTCTCTTTACGCGTAGAGACATTCTCGCATTAGCAATGGGTTCTTTCCCATCTTATTAATTTCTTTGTATATCTTGTAAATGTAAATTGAGTAGAGGTCAGTTTTGACTGAATAAAGAAAATAAACACCGATAGATTGGGTCCCATGGACTTAACGCTTTGGCTAATTTAATGACAAAAAGAACAAAGGGGAAAAAAGCCCTCAAACTCTGTATGCTAGATGGAATTTCAACTAGCAATGGCCCAGGAGCCAAACTGAAAAGCTCTAACACTTTCGTAGGTGTTTTCAGATATTGATTTTGTTGCCTGACTTCAGCCCTGAGATAGGGGAGATTGCTCTTCTGATGAAAACGTGTTCATTCCGGGCACAGCAGCTATATGGATTTTCTGTTCTGCCTCTTTCTTTACTCCTGAAAAATGCCATTAGATGGAATTTGGATGCTCTGGGGCCATGGCCTTCCATGTTCTGGGAGGCTCGTGGATTCCTGTGGATCGTCCCCCCGACCCCGAGGCTCCTGGAGCTGACAGAGCCGGGGGTCCCAGCAGGCCCATCCTCCATCTCTGACGTCACAGGCATCTGAGGGCAGGGCCATGCACTACGAGTCCATGATGTACCAGGCGGGGGAGCCAGTGGCCATTCTAGAAAAATTCCATCTCCAGGGCATGAAAAGACAGATAAAGATCAGTGTAACTCACCTGTGCTGAGTAACATGGTGGGTCACGGTGGGGCTCTGGAACCAGGATGTCTTGACCTGAGTCCTGAATTGGCCCCTTCCCAGCTCCGTCACTTGCCGTGAGTCCTCCAACCACCATGTGGCTTCGTGGCTTCATTTGTAAAGTGGGGCAAGAGTGTGCGCAGCTGGCAAGGGCTGAGCAATTGAATGACTTCGCTCATGTAAAACAGAGCAGGACCAGGCGCAGGGCAGGTGCATGGAAAAGGTTAACTATTGCCATCATTAGGAACCATCAAGGGGCTCACACACATGATCTCAGTGGAGGCTTCTAGCAGCCTGTGAGGGGGTGTTAGGGACATTTGGATGCCAGCAACAGACGCTGACTTGTTCTCATAAGCAGAAAGGTAGTTTATTGGAAGGATAAGGGGAGCACAATGTATCAAAGTGAAGGTGTAAAAATTAGACAAACACGATATTAGGAATTACATTATATATTGGTGTGATATATTGTGTGTGTATTGAGACTTATTTTAAGATAATTGAATATTCACACGCAGTTGTCAGAAAGAATACAGCGAGATCCCCAATACACCTCCCCCAGTTTCCTCCAAGGGTAACATCATATACGACTATAGTACATGACAGCCAGGACGTTTACAATGATGGAGTCCACCACCTTCTTCAAATTTCTGGCTTTATATGCACTCATTTCTGTGCATTTTAATCACATGTGTAGATCCTGTGACCACCAGAATCACAATCCAGAAAAGTTGTATCACAAGGATTCCTCCTGTGTTTTATTCTAACACTTTTATAGTTTTAGCTGTTACATTTAGGTCTAATGAATTTTAAGCTATATTATGTATAATGGGAGGTAGGGGTCCAAATTCATTTTTCTGCATGTGGATGTCTAATTGTTTCAATATGACTTTTTGAAGAGACAATTCTTTTTCCATTTAATTGTATTGGTACTTTTGTTGAAAACCAACTGACCATAGATGCTAGGGTTTATTTTTGGTCTCTCAATTCTAGTCTACAGATCTATATGTCTGTCCTTATGGCAGTACCGCACGGTTTTATTACAACTGTGTAGTTAGTTTCCACACAGCGAAGTGTGAGTCTTCCACCTTTGTTCATGTTTATCAAGATTTTCTGGCCGGGCGCGGTGGCTCACGCCTGTAGTCCCAGCACTTTGGGAGGCTGAGGCGGACAGATCACTTGAGGTCAGGAGTTCAAGACCATCCTGGCCAACATGGTGAAACCCTGTCTCTACTAAAAATACAAAAATTAGCTGGGCATGGTGGTGCACGCCTGTAATCGCAGCTACTGAGGAGGCTGAGGCAGGAGAATCGCTTGAACCCTGGAGGCGGAGGTTGCAGTGAGCCAAGATTGTGACACTGCACTCCAGCCTGGGTGACAGAGTGAGAGAGACTTTGTCTCAAAAAATAAATTATATAAATTATATATGTAATTAATATAATCTTTTTCTGGACATCAGTTCCCACCCCTCCAGTGTTTGTTTCTTGAACTGTTTATTGCTGTCATTGTTTTCTTGCTTTAGACTTCCCTGGACTAATTCTATACAGTCTGCTTTCTTTTTTTTGTGAAGACACGGACATGTACTTGGTTAGCTTAGTGGTCAGATAATGACTGAACAGAGATTTCCTCAAATTCCTTGAAATGAGAATTTTCTCGGACTTTGCTGAGGGCTGTGTGGGTGTGTGTTGGGGAATGCCTTCACCATCCTGGCAGACAGCTTACAGCTCTGCCTTAGCTGTTGCCCACGCTGGCAGGGAGCATCCCAGTCAGCCCAGGTGAGCAGGGGCCCTCTTAGTTCTCTCCCAGAGGACACACAGCCCTGCATGTGCACCTGGCCTTCTAAGTTCTCAGGAATATATCGGAGCTTTTCAAAGCTTTATAAGAACATGTCATTCCACAATAATTCCTTTTAATTTTTTTTGGCCAGCCTCTTCTCAGCTTCAACTTGTATTGCTGCTTCAGGCTACTACAGTAATAAACAATCCCCACTGATTTTTTAGGACAAATATCCTAGGATAGGTAGGGCTGGTGCACAGAGCAAGCTCTCATGAGGTCAAGTAGCGAGGAGAAAGTTCTTCAGTGAGAGCACAGCTCCTCAGGGAGCGGTCATGGTGGTCCGAGGACAGCGATTCACTGGGAATGGGCCTTGTGGAGAGTTCCGATCCTCTGTGTTCCTCCAGGGGCTGCCAGCCTGCTGGCTTTTTATAGCCTCTCCTTGTTTTTTAAGACTACTGTGGGGCTGGGAGAAGAGGACTGAAATTGGGCAAATTAAAATGCCACACAATTTGCTTTTCTTACCAAGATTCAGCCATTGCTATCATTTTGAGAAACGGATTCACCCTATTGCCTAGAGTGCAGTGGCACAATCACAGCTCACTGCAGCCTCGACCTCCTGGGCTCAAGCGATCCTCCTACCTCAGCCTCCCAAGTAGGTGGGACCACAGGTGTGCGCCACCATGCCTGGCTAATTAAAAACATTTATTTATTTTTTTTATTTTGGTAGAGATGGGGTCTTGCCATGTTGCTCAGGCTGGTCTAGAACTCCTGGACTCAAGTGCTCCTCTCCCCTTGGCCTCCCAAAGTGCTGGGATTACAGGCATGAGCCACCAGGCCCGGCCATTATTATTATTTTGAATAAATGCTCTTCAGATTATTGCAAGCCTTTAGCTAGTTTTCGGAGGTCTGAAACAGTCCTTTTGACATTTATTCCAGTATTCTGATTGCTTTTATGGAGGGAGAGAATTTTGGAAGCCTTTACTCTGCTATCCCAGAAGTGCTTCTAGTATCGCATTTTGTACTCAGCATTGTGCCCTGCAAAGGCAATAATGTGAAAATATTTTAAGTGGGTTGACAGTTGCCAAATATTTTCTAAACTGTTATTGTGAATTTTTACCACACATATTAATGCATGAAGGTTGCCTTTGCAGTTTAATTGCTGGAATTCTTAACCAGGGCAATCATGGACCTCCTGCTGTGTACAGATTTGCAGACAATTGAGAGTGTCACTCATCCACGACGATCCAATGCGGAGGTTTCTATTTCCACAGAGATGAAGCCACAAGCAAAGGCCTGTCCGTGTACAGGTCTGTTCTGAAGATGAACATCCTGTCCCAGAGAGAAAATGCTCCCTCTGGGAAGAGACTCCCTGGGCACCCCCTGGGTCCTTGGAGCCCTTCTGGGCCACATCTCTGCTTAGCATTGGGGGACCTGTCACACCCGAGTGGGGTGACCACGGGCTCGTGACCTGTAGGAGGCGAGACTCCAGCATTCTAGGGGGTGACAGCAAAACCAGGCCCTCAGCAGAGACCACCTCCTTCCAGAGCCTTCTGTGGCTGGGCGGGGGTCTCCAGGCAGCTCCGCAGCCCCCGCGAATACCGCCTGGTGCTGAGTCCGCTTATACAGACAGAGACGAAGGGCAGCGACACCGTTTTTCTTTTCTGAAGTGGGAGGGTCTCGTGTCCGCAGCTCAGGAGGAAAACGAGGCGCCGGCTTTGCAGGTGGGTAGGAGTTTGTGTTGTACTCGGAGGCTGGGAGCCCCTGGGGCTTCTGTAGGGAGAGGCGGTCTGAGACGCGCTTTAGAAGTTGACCTGCTGCTCTGCGGGGACTCGGTGCGGGAGACGAGTGGAGGCTGCTGCGTCATCCAGGTGAGAGGAGAGCCAGGTGCGCAGTGAGCAGAGGTGGGAGGAAAGCTGGTTGCCACGGAGATGAGGGCGTGTCCATCACTGCAAGGCTCCACCCACAGCACTATCCTGGGCGGAACCTTCCTGGCCCCACCCACAGCCTTAGCTGATTGGAGTGTGGAGTACATGTGACTTCAGGCTGTGTTCTTATAGGTCGGGTGGCCTCTCGTGCCCTGCCCATGTAGCGATGGAGCTTTTGCAGGGGATGTCCTGGAGAATCAAGGGTGAGTCCACCATCTAGGATGGTGGAGAAGAGTTATGGGGTTAGTGGGCCTGAGAAGGGACTGTGGTTCTCACCATCAGGGGCAGGGCCATGTAAGAGGGTGTGGAGTCCCTGTGAGTGGGGTGGGGCCATGTGAGTGGGGCGGGGTCATGTGAGTGGGGTGGGGTCTTGTGAGTGGGAAGGGGCCATGTGAGTGGGGTGGGGTCATGTGAGTGGGGTGGGGTCATGTGAATGAAGAGGAGCCCTGTGACGGTTGGGGTCATGTGAGTGGGGAGGGACCATGTGAGTGGGGTCATGTGGGGTCATGTGAATGAACAGGGCAGGGCCATGTGAGTGTGGTGGGGTCATGTGAGTGGGGTGGGGTCTTGTGAGTGGGGCGGGGTCATGTGAGTGGGGCGGGGTCATGTGAGTGGGGTGGGGTCTTGTGAGTGGGAAGGGGCCATGTGAGTGGGGTGGGGTCATGTGACTGGGGTGGGGTCATGTGAATGAAGAGGAGCCCTGTGACGGGTGGGGTCATGTAAGTGGGGTGGGGTCATGTGAGTGGGGAGGGGCCATGTGAGTGGGGTCATGTGGGGTCATGTGAATGAACAGGGCGGGGCCATGTGAGTGGAGCCGAGTTATGATAATGGGGCGGGGCCTCTGGTTAATTCTCCCGTTTGTCTCTGGAGATTCCTCCTCATGGCTCCCAGATGCTCAGGGCTTCTCTCCCATGGACAGAACACCTCCACGAGTCCCATGGCCTCAGCACCAGTGACCTCAGCGCTGCTGGTTCATAGAGGGCAACTTGTGCGTGCACTGGCAGGTCCTGCCTATTTAGGAAAGAGAGGTGGAGGCTCAGATGCTGGGTTCAAGACTCACCGGGGACGCGGGCACCAGGGTGCTCCCTCCCCAGCCTCTGGCTGACAGCACTGAACTCAGCCGCCTCGCCCGGCTTCTGGTGGCTTCTGGTCCACGCTGTACCCTCCTCTGTGGGCTCCGTCTCTGCAGGGTTCTCGGAGACATCGCAGCTGCTAAATGCCAAATGCAGAACCTGGGCTGTGGGTCCCGGCCTGGCTTCGTGTGCCGCGCTTTCCACTGAGAGCCGCGTGACTGGGTGCTACCTGGGGCGAGGGGGTGATGTGAAAACACTTTCTGTTCAGTTTCGGGGCAAGCTGCCCTAACTCCAGATCCCCACGCAATTCAGAGTACTTTCTTTTCTTTGGGTTTTGAAACAGCAATGCAGTTTCCTCTCTGCGTGCCTCTCCGGCTTGCAGGCTGGCACCTGTGCATAAACCGAGCGTGAGAATCAGGTGTCTGCGGGCCCCTTTCTTCTCAAACGGGACTCCTGAGGTTTCGCAGAGGAGACAGGGACTTGGGGACCTTGGAGGGAGGGACACAGTTTAGAGTCCAGTTCACACTGGAGGGTGGGTCTCTTACCAGACCAGTGTCCCACATTGACGATGAACAGACAGAAAACCTGAGTTTCCGGGAGGCTCATGGTGTCTTTGACCCTGGTGCCTCCTGGGTGACTGTGTTGTACCTGCACATGCCTCCAGGACAATCGGGGCTAGAGTGGGTCAGGAGAAGTTCCCTCTGGACGTGACCGCGCATGGCTCTCGTGGTCCAAGCGGGGTTGAAAACAGCTACCCTGGGGCCAGGGAGGGTGCTGTCAGCAGGAAAGACCAGGGAGTGGAGGGATGGGGAGGCTCCTGGACCCTCAGCGGCTGCTCAGCTCCAGCCCTGCCCACATCCGCCTTTCCCCGGGCTTGGTCCATGCGGATACAGGCCCAGTGTTGCAGATCTTCTGAGTTTTACGTGAAATTTCTTAACATTTACAGCACCACACAGGCAAACAACACATCTGGGGCCTCCAGTTCACACCCCGCCTGACGGCCCATCACTGTGTGTGTGGTTAGGGCTCCCCAGCACCTGGGCATCTTCCTGTGCCTGAACTCGCTCCCCCAGCTCCCCTCTCCTGCTGCTTCAGAGCAGCATCCACCTGGGCTGTGCCTCCCCTGCTGGTGCTGCCCCCATCAGAGAGGGCCTTTCTGTTCCTCTGTCCCCAGAGGCCCAGGAGATTGCAAGATGCTGACTGGGGTGCTGTGGTGGGGGCCCCGGTCTGCTTCATCTCTGTCCCACGAAGCCTGGGGAACACAGAGCTGAGCCCTGCAGTGCCCGGCACATCCTCCATTCTTTCCACAGAATATTCCATTCGGCTGTGACCTTTAGGAAGGCATCCATCTGGACATTTGCAAAGTGGGTGAGTGACCCTGTGGCTTTGTTGGGATTGCCATGGTTAACTCAGTGGGCTACAGATCTGTTTTTATTCACTTATTTGGAAACTTGGAAGATTTGGGAGCAAATTCTTTTTGAACTAGCCATCCAACTTTGGAGAAACAATTTATGGATGAAAAGCAGATGTGGGTTTTGTTAAAAGCAAAGTAGCATGTTGAGTTCTCTTTTTAAAGACATTTTAATAACAGAAAAGCTGAAAGGGATGCTACAGCAAAAGCATGCACCTATTGTTCATAATTTATAATTATTAATATTTATGTTCACATTAAAAATTGCAACAAGTAAGACATTGTAGAGGATGCCAGAAACCCCGTGGCCCCTCTGCTCCGAGAGGCAGTGACCGTGGTGAGTGCTGTGTGACTTTCTTGTCCATTTATGTACATTTTAAATTCATGCACAACATTGAGCATATTGGGGTCTTTATTAATCTTTCCTCTGAGCTCTGCAGCTTGTTTTTCCCTGACACGAGGTTGCCTGGATGCAGCCACGTGTACGTGTCTTTTAGATCATGCCTTTGAACCGGGACCCCCAGGTGTCCTGATCAAACCCCTCCTGGGGCACATGCTGGTGTCTCCACCTGTCCTGTCTCCAGCCGCGCTCAGGAATCACTCTGTGCCCCTCCTCCTGCACATGTGGGATCGGATCCTTTCTCTGTGTAGACACAGACTGCTGGATCTCGACGTTGGCGTGTTGTCATGGTCACTCACCGGCCTGGTGTCCAGGGTAGACTTATCTGTGCAGGAGCTGAGGAGCCATCTGCTAGTTTTTGCTGGCTCCCTTGAGGGGTTGTCACCTCCATGCTGAGATGAGGCCACCCAGGCCTCTGCTCCCCTGACTGATTAGGGCATCGTGACCTGCGCAGCTCCCCGTGGGAAAGTGTGACCTTCCTGCTCTTCATTCCCAGTTGCCCTCTGCATGAGCAGAAGGAGCCCGCAGTGCTCCCACCCCCCCGACTCCTGCATTTGCCTCATTCATTGCATGTTAATCTCTGACCTTACCGTCAAGCAGGGCAGGGCACGATGCACCCACCAGATGGACAGTGATGTGGCCGCCATCGCTGGCTTTGCCAATTCTTCAGAAGGTTCTGGAAAATCAAACCAGATAGTGTCAGAGACAACCCATCTTATGTCCTCTGATGGAGCTATTCATGGGGCTTGCTCCTTTCAACCCCAGGGCTCAAAGGTCCCTGGCTTTGCCCCTGCCCGCCTGAGGAAAGGCCGTGCCGTGGTTAACTGTGAAACTGCCCTGTAGCTGCTGGCACTGACTTGAGGTCACGAGGTCCAGCAGCATCTCCTAGATTGTCACTGACCGCTCTGCTCTGTGGGCAGGTCAGCCGTGGTAAAGCACAGCGGGTGGAGGACCAGGCGTCCTGGGGCAGGTTCCTGTTGGCCGTGCTCGCAGCCTGCCCAGGCGTCCTGGGGCAGGTTCCTGTTGGCCCCGCTCGCAGCCTGCCCAGGCGTCCTGGGGCAGGTTCCTTTTGGCCCCGCTTGCAGCCTGCCTATTGCTGTTGAGGCTGCTGTGCAGGAATCTCCAGGCTACAGGAAGGATTCTTGGATGCTCCTACTTGTGGGAGATCCAGGTCTTCAAGGTCCTCTTGGCCGTACACGATGCCCACCTCATGGGCTAACTTCAGGACCCAAACTGAGATGGTTTGACAAAAACCAGAAAAGAGAACCAGAGACTGTGGCTGTTCTCCCGAGGGCCAGGGGGCCCCATTTCCTCAAAGTCCTCCTATATCCTCAGGGATGCTGGCGGGCTCCCCTGTGACTGCCCTCTCCCCTCTCCTGGGGAGTTCATGAACCTGGAAGGGGACACTTCTGTCTCCCTGGTCCTGGCCACATAGCGCCCACCTTTCCCGTGACAGCCACGATGCCCATGGAGAGGGAAGTCTAGCCCCAAGGAAGTTTGAACTCGCTGCCACGGCCCGAGCCAGCACTCCACACAGGCAGCTCCACCCGGCCTCGGCCTCTCTGCTTTGTCTCTGAGCCCCACAGCACGCCGGTCCCCTCCAGGGGAGCTGACACAGGTATCGTGGCAACAGCTGTCCCACTCCTGATGGGGTCCAGGACGATGTTGCAGCCCCCCTGGGTCAGGCTGAGGCCCTGCCTCCTGCACACGCTGGGTCCAGGGGAGGATGCCAGGGCCTGTGTGTGTGTATGTGGGGGGGGGGTGGGGCGGGGAATGAGCTTCCACTGAAAGGGGAGGCGCAGGCTGCGGAGTCTAGGCTTCCCCCACCCCAAACTCAGACAGCCAGGGATTGTCCTTCTCACAGAGGGAGCGTGATTCCTGTAACTCAGGAGTGATTCACGGTCGGCTGTGAATCACAGAGGCTGAGAAAAACCCTCAAGCTATCCAGTCTTTGAGTGCAGCCCTGCTGGCTCCAGAACGGCTGCCTTGGTTGGCCTTACTCGGCTTCTGCAAGAATTGGCAGGCTGGGCCCCTGCTCCGCTTGCCCGCAGCCTGGCACGCTCCATCATGTGCCCACACCTTGGTGAGCGAGGGCTGAGCTGCCATCCGCAGATGGGAGGCCTGAGGCCGAAGGCGCGGTGGGTGCTGCCCACACAGCAGCAGCACCACTGATCAGCAGCTCCCAAACTGCCCTGATCACCTGGGGGCCTTTCCCAATTACTGACATCTGCTTCCCACACAGACCTGGGCTATAATTGGTATCAGATGGGGCCTGTGCCTCAGGGATTTAAAACTCTTCCCAGGTGAGTCTAACCTGCAGCAGGGTTGGGAACTGCTGACCCAGGAGTGTGAGGCAGCAGGTTCCCAGGTGATGCTGACGCTGATGGTTGATGCCACACTCAGAACCGCTGCACTAGATCTCTGGCCGAGGCTGAGTTTTGGTGCAGGGTGTAGACGGCATTGCTGTAGACCTGAGGTTCAGCAGGTCTGGGTTTTTGCTGTAGGAACAGCTGCTGAAAATAAGCAAGAATGCGACATGTTGACTGAGCGTTGGCCTGTGTCCGAACAGGCTTCAGGAGTGGGTGCTCTGGGGACCTTGCCTGGGGAGCTCTGGGCTCCTGGAGCCCAGGGTCAGAGGTCTAGAGGTCTGAACTTGAGAGACCAACCCTGTGCTTTGGAGCCAACAGCCACCATGGTGGGTGGAGCTGGTGGGGGGTGTCCGCCTCCAGCCTGAGGGCACTGCTGTCTTGTCCCTGCTGTGGCTTCTGTCACCATCTGCAGTGGCTCCATCTCAGTTCAGCCCGCCGAGTTGGCGTCCCTTTGAAATAGTGCAAAGCAGAACAGTTATTCCTTAAGGCCGTGGCTTCATTCACTTAAGAGACTCACGGAATGTCCACCCTGTGCTGGGCACTGTGTTTGGTGGGCAGGGAGTGTGGGCTGGGTACAGCTGTCCCTGCTATCTGGGACACCCTGGAGGGTGGTGACAGTCCTACAGCTGAGAACAGGGACCGCAGTGGTCACAGCCCTGGCTATGGCCTGCTCCAGCCTGTATGGACACCAGGGAGCTCCTGCCCATCAGGGCCGTGGCCACCCTGCAGGCTCTCGGGCCTGTCTACCCTGGTCTCACCTCCCTGATGGTCCCTGGGCCCCGGTGCTGCCACTGCCCCTCCCCAGATGTAGCAAGAGAAGCCTTCAGGGTGATACAGAGGCACATCTGGGACGGGGAAAAACATGAACATCTAAGTGAGATGTTTTCACAGAGGCCTCTTGGAGATTTCCTGGAGGGCTCCATGTTGCTGAGAGAAGAGGTAGGTGGGAAGAACTTCTGTAAACAGGAAGCAAAAAAGAGCAAAACCGACCACTGAAATGCCAACTTCAAACGGAAGGGCAGCCCCAAGCTGACATACCCTCCCTGATTGCAAAGAGGGTCTGGTCACGAGGGGAGGGGAGAGGAGGACAGGGAAGGCGGCAGAGCATGGCTGTGCAGAACCTTCTGCGTTGCCCTGCCTCCCTTCTGCCTTCCCCCTGGACCCGAGGTGAGGATTTGGAGGGGTCCACAAGTACAGCCAGAGGCTGAGTCTCCCCACGGCCAGGCCTCCAGTCCTCCCTAGGTTCAGCTGCAGGTGGACGGAGCAGAATTTTAGCCTCATTTGTCACCAGATCTCCCTCCCACCCCTGGCCGTGTTTGGGCTTCGGAATTCCTAGAAAACCTGAGGAGTTGATAAACTAGGTTCCTGCTCTGTTTAATTCAGGGTCCTCATCAAGGCTCACCAGGCTGGGTTCTGCTGGAGAATGGCTCTGTCATTTCTGGGAGATTCGCTTAACTCTCTGCTTCACGCTCTTGAACCCCAAAGCCCTTTGCTTGGACAGGGTCAGGCTGGGCACATCCTGCCAGCCAGAGGGCCCTGGTACAGTCTCATCTGTGAAACCAGTTGTCAGAGGCGTTTGAACCAGAGTGACTGCATTTTGAGTAGGGGCTGGGTGAAATAAGGCTGAGTCCTGCTGGGCTGCATTCCCAGGAGGTTAGGCATTCTAAGTCACAGGATGGGATAGAAGGTCAGGCATAAGTTACAGGTCACAAAGGCCTTGCTAATAAAACAGGTTGCAGTAAAGAAGCCAGCCAAAACCTGCCAAATCCAAGATGGCGACCAAAGTGACCTCTGGTCATCCTCACTGCTTGTTATATGCTAATTATAATGCATTCACTACTAAAAGACACTCCCACCAGCACCCCGACAGTTTGCAAATGCCATGGCAATGTCAGGAGGTTACCCTATATCGTCTGAAAAGGCAGAGGAACCTTCCAGGAATTGCCTACCCCTTTCCCAGAAAGCTCATGAATAATTCACCCCTTGTTTAGCATATAATCAAGAAATAACTGTAGAAATAGTCAACCAGCAGCCCTCAGGGCTACTCTGCCTGTGGAGTAGCCATTCTTTCATTCCTTTACTTTCTTCATAAGCTTGCTTTCACTTTATGGGTTCACCTCGAATCCTTTCTTGCATGAGATCCAGAACCCTCTCTTGGGGTCTAGATTGGGACCCCTTTCTGGTAACACAATGGGTGACATGTAGTAGTTCCTCTTGGCTTTTCACGAAGTGAGGCTGGAGCTTTGGGATTCCAGTTCTGCACCTTGACCACGTAGTCTTTTTCTTGAAGAACGGCTCCATAGAGGAATATTCTGTCTGCCCCAGCCTCACTCTGATTGCACTGAGGCAGCGAGCCCCCTGGGGGGACAAGAATGAAATCGCTTTGCAAAAATTATATCAGTGAGAAAATTGTGGCAGTGGGGGAGATCTGATCTAGTTAACCTCCATTTTGCCTTTAGCCTTCAATTATTCCTGGGCTTAAGCCAAGCGAATGTTGGGAAACATTTAGTTTATAGTTTAAATGATAATAAGTCCTTCCCCCAAACTCAACTGCCTTTGTAAAGCTAATGAGAGACCACCTGGCTGGGAGGATAGAGCAGGCTGAATTCTTCTAAGGTGTAGACATAAACCATTGCCAGCCATTATTCCAGAGGTCACAAGACATGCAACTCCCCAATTACTCCTGCAGATAACATTACTATTGTAGGATGTAAGATTGGCCTTTTCAGATATCTTTTCAGGTTTTTTGCATGTCTGATGACTGACGGCTCCATCTGGTCCTGCCAACTGCTCCTGTGGCCCCACCCAGAATCGAGTTAGTAAGCAAGAAGATCATTTCCCATGCTCCTATGATTGCACCCCAACCAATAGGCAGCAAGCACACATTGCCCCAAAGCCACCCCCACCCCTTTCCCCAAACTAGAAGAACGCATTGGGCGGTTCCAAGAAGCTCTCCTCATGGGAGACCTGAGCCCTCTGGCTGAAAATGCATGGCCAAGTCACGCTGTGACCCACAGGCTACATCTAATCCATGGGTCTTCATTATTCGGCCTACCCATTTTTTATTCATTGCTAACATTAACATTTGAGACAAAGCTAGATTTATAGGTTCATTTGAATAGTGGAGCAGTGAGCCACCCCTGGGCCACATCAGGATGATGGGCTGGAGCTGAGGGGCAGTGCCGCCCTCTGGAAAGGACATGTGCCCTCCGGCTTACTGCAGTCTCCACCACTCCCTGTGGTCACTTTGTTCTGTCTGGTAGCATCGCCCTTTTTTCTCTGTCCAACCTGCGTGATTCATTATGTGTAATTACCTGGACCCTGTAAACATGTGATTTGTCTCGAGGCAGTCTGTTCTACCCTGATGTCAGAGGTGTTCGAACCAGAGCAACTCCATCTTGAGTGAGGGCTGGAAAATGAGGTTGGGACTTACTGCGCTGTGTTCCCAGAAAGTTAGGCATTCCTGGCTTCTAGATATTTACGGTTAAGGGAACAAATTAATAATCTTTACTAAACAGACCCAGACTTAGAAGTGTGCAGATATCCCGATATCTGCAGAACAAAGGCATTCCTAATTTTGCTTTAAAGATAATATCAATTCTTGCAAAATGTAGTAATTAAGAAAATTAATCCTTTATCACAAACCCTTGTAGCAGAACACATCTCCCCATATATACAAGCATTGGACCTAGGGTGGACGCCTTCCTCCTCTTATTTTTAGGAACGCCCTACTCTGTCTATGGAGTAGCTGTACTTTCCCCGCTTTCTTAATAAACTTGCTTTTGCTTTGCACTGCAGACTCGTCCTGAATTCTTTCTTGTGTGAGATCCAAGAACCCTCTCTTGGGGTCTGGGTCGGGACCCCTTTCCTGTAACGCTGGCAGTTGAAATTTTAGCAATTGATTGACCTTAGCCACATGAGAAGTGGTTACTGATGGTGTCCACATAAACAGCCTTGTTCTATTTGCATGGGGATTACGCAGTGAAGAGAAGTGTTTCTAACCCCGAGAATGCTTTTGAGTCAAGCAAAATCTTTACCATTAGGCCATTACAATCCCTATATTCCCCACTATAAGAGATGAAATTTAAAATTAGTTGGTACAATTTGAGCTAAAGATTACCTAGATCTGACATTTGTTAAGGAAAAAATGTTCATATTAAAAACAGATATGGGCCAGGCATGGTGGCTCACACCTGTAATCCCAGCGCTTTGGGAGGCCAAGGTGGGTGGATCATTTGAGGTCAGGAGTTCAAGACCAACCTGCCCAACATGGCGTTAACTCATTTAGAATAAATACAAAAATTAGATGGGTGTGGTGGCATGCACTTGTAATCCCAGCTACTTGGGAGGCTGAGGCAGGAGAATCGCTTGAACCTGGGAGGTGGAGGCTGCAGTGAGCAGAGATCATGCCACTGCACTCCAGCCTGGGTGACAGAGCAAGGCTGTCTCAAACAAACCCCCAAAAAACCCATGAATTCAACAAGGTTGCAGGATACAAGATTAATTTACAAAATCAATTGCCTTTCTATACACTTGGAATACAAAATAAAAAATGAGTTTAAGAAAATAATTCCATTTATAATAGCATCAAAAAGAATAAAATAATCAAGACATAAATTTAACAACAAACAAGTATAAAACATATACTTTGAAGACTACAGAACATTGTTTAGAAAAACTTAAGAACTAGACAAGTGAAAAAGCATCTCATATTATTGAATCAGACGACCTAATATTAGGATGGCAACACTCCCTAAATTGATCTACACATTCCTCACAATCCCTATCATTATCCCAGCTGACTTCTCTGTAGAAACTGACAAACTGATTCTAAAATTCATTCAGGATTTCAAGGGATGCCGAATAGTGATAATTACCTTGAAAAAGGAGAAGGAAGTAGAACAGCCCACAGCTCTTGCTTTCAAAACTTACCGTAAAGCAGTGGTAATCAAGACAGGGTGGTGCTGGCACAAGGATAGACATCAAGATTAATGGAATAAAATTGAGACTCCAGAAATAAAATCATATATCTGGGGCCAATTGATTTCCCATAACGGTGTCAAGACCACTCAATGGGGTAAGAATTGTTCTTTCAACATACGGTGCTGGGACCACTGGATTTCCACATGCCATAGAATGTAGCTGGACTCAACCACCCACCATACCCAAAAGCCAACTCAAAGTGGATCAAAGACCTACCTGTCAGAGCTAAAACTATAAAACCTCTTAGAGGAAAACACTACTGATGTTGATTTGGCCAAAAGTTCTTAGGTAAGGATTAAAACCATGAGCAACAACAACAAAAATGAGCCACAAAAGAAAAAATAGATAAATTGGATTTCATCAAAATGGAAAACCTTTGTGCTTCAAAGAACACCATCAAGAAAGTGGAAGGCCAGGCATGGTGGCTCATGCCTGTAATCCCAGCACTGTGGGAGGCCAAGGCAGGAGGATTGCTTGAGGCCAGGAGTTCAAGACCAGCCTGGGCAACATGGTGAGACCCTGTCTCTATATTACAAAATATATATATATATATATATATATGCATATATATATATGCGCAAATCCTACCATAGAACTCTTTTGATTCAATAATAAAAAGTCAATCCAATTACAAAATGGGCAAAGGATATGCATAGTCATTTCTCCGAGGAAAATATATACATTGCCTCATTAAATACACAATAAGCACATGAAGAATGATTGGCACCGTTAGTCATCAGGGAAATGCAAATCAAAACCACAGTAAGACACCACTTTACACACACTAAAATGCCTATGATGAAAAAGTCAGATAATAACAAGTGTTTCTGAGGATGTGGAGAAATCCGAATCCTCACCACCACTGGTGGGAGTGGAAGATGGTGCAGCCACGTTGGAGAACAGTTTGGCAGTTCCTCAAATGGTTAAACATAGAGTCACCACACCACACAGCAACTCCACTCCTAGTTACATACCCAAGAAGAAGCAAAACATATGTGCACAGAAAAACCTGGACACCAACCTTCAGGGCAGCTTTATTCATAATAGTCAAAAGCTGGGAACAACCCACATGTCCATCAAATAACAAATGGTTTAACAAAATGTAGTACAGGAGCCCCTCCTTATCTGAGGTTTTGCTTTCTGAGGTTTTAGTTACTCATGGTCAATCACAGTCCAAAAATATTAAATAGAAAATTTCGGAAATAAACAAGTCATAAGTTTTAAGTTGCACGCCATTATGAGTAGCAGATAAACTCTCTCACCGTGCCACCCGCGATGTGAATCATCTCTCTGCCCAGCGTACCCTGCTGTATGCTCGGTCTGCCCACTGGCCACTTAGTAGCTGCCTTGGTCATCAGACTTACTGTCTCGGTGTCGCTGGACTTGTGTCTTCAGTGCTGGTGTTTAAGGAACCCTGATTTTACTTAATGAACAGCCAGAAGCACAAGGCTAGTGGTGCCGGCGATTTGCACATGTCCAAGAAAGCCATAAAGTGCTTCCTTTAAGTAAAAAGGTGAAAGTTCTGTACTTAATGAGGAAAGAAAAACAATCACATAATGAGGTTGCCAGGACCTACAGTAAGAATGAATTGTCTTTCCATGACATTGTGAACAGTACATTGTTATAATTGTCCTGTTAGTGGTTATTGTTGTTAATCTCTTACCTCGTGTCATTTATAAATTAAACTTTATCGTAGCTATGTATGTATAGGAAAAAAGCAGTGTGTATAAGGTTCAATACTATCCATGGTTTCAGGCATCCACTGGGGGGTCTTGGAACTTATCCCCTGCAGATAAAGGGGGAAGATTGTGTATACATACAATGAAATATTATCCGGCCATAAAAAAAAGGATGTGGTGGCTCATGCCTGTGATCCCAACACTTTGGGAGACTGAGGCAGGAAGATTGCTTGAGACCAGGACTTTGAGACCAGCCTGGGCAACACAGCAAGACCCCATCTCTACAAAAAAATAAAAAATAAAAAATTAGCCAGGCGTGGTGGTGTGTGTCTGTAGTCCCAGCTACTCAGGAGGCTGAGGTGGGAGGATCACTTGAGTCCGGGAGGTTGAGGCTGCAGTGAGCTGTGATTATACTACTGCACTCCAGCCTGGGTGACCCAGCGAGACCCTGTCTCTATTAATAAAAAAAGGTAATGAAATACTGGGGGCCAAACACTCCTGAACAGAGAGATTCCTGGAATTATTACCTCCATGCTCCTCAGTCTGGGGTCCCTCTGCTCTGGTATCACATTCCAGGGGGTGAGTGGCCAGCCCGAGTCACACATCCACCACTTGGCTGCAGGCAGGGGTTGCCATGATGGACAGTTCCTGGGTGTGTCCAGGAGAGGAAGGTCACTTCTCCCAAAGCAAAGCCAGGAGGAGTGGACGGGAGAGAGCAAAAGGAGCAGAGGGCCAGGGCTGGAGCCCGTTACAGAAATCCTTCAATGAAAAAGGTCTGGGGAACTTCCAGAGAGGCCGACTGCTTGCAGATTCAGTCTTTGTCCTGCAAGAGACAAAAGAGTGAGAAGCCAGCTGGGATCCCTTCCAGAAAGGGGCTCGGGAGTTCATTCCAAAGACAAATAAATGAAGGGCAACTTCTCAAGCTCTACACCCGCCCTCATGGCCTTGTGAATGGGATTATATGTGAGAATCCCAGTGTGTTGGCTGAACTCCTTCTCCAGGGCATCTCGGGGCATAATTAGCAGAGGAGGGCCAGCCTCCCTCACAGGGCACCCCACCTCGGACTCAGGGGAGCATCTGAGAAGTTCTTGGATGCGCCATGGAATGGACGGGGTGTGCACTGGCCTCATGTTCTCGTGCTGGACGCTTCTCAGGCTCCCATGTGAAACCTCCCATGAGGATTCCTTACAGTACAGATTTTGATTCAGGAGCTCTGGGTGGAGCTTAGAATGCTGTATTTCTATCAATCATCCCAGTGATGTTGATGCTGCCTGTCCAAGCCCACAATGGGGAGTGAGGTCCCATTGCGTGCTGGCAGCAGGAGGGGAGGCAGGTCTGCAGCAGCTCCAGGTGTCCATTACCCCAGCTGGTGGGCCCAGAGTACTGGGAGAGCATCTTTCCTCCAGAGCCCTGTGTCTAAATCCCAGAGAAGGGCTCTGATTGGTCCTGTTCTTCCAGAACCCTGTGCCTACATCCCAGGCAAGGGCTCTGATTGGTCCTGTTCTTCCAGAGCCCTGTGTCTACATCCCAGGCAAGGGCTCTGGTTGGTCCTGTTCTTCCAGAACCCTGTGTCTACATCCCAGGGAAGGGCTCTCATTGGTCCTGTTCTTCCAGAGCCCTGTGTCTACATCCCAGGGAAGGGCTCTCATTGGTCCTGTTCTCCTAGACCTCTGTGTCTAAATCCCAGGGAAAGGCTCTGATTGGTCCCATTCTCCCAGAAACCTGTCTCTAAATCCCAGGGAAGGGCTCTGATTGGTTCTGTTCTCCCAGACTTCTGTGTCTAAATCCCAGGGAAGGCTCTGACTGGTGCTGTTTGAGTGCTGTGCCTTAGGGTAAACTTCTGTGGCAAAAGAGAAAGGATGATAGCGGTGGTTGGTTCTCACCAGAGCCTCTGGGGTGGGGAGAGGCTGCTCCCCAAAGGAAAGGGGCAGCTGGTCCTAAAAGACACATGGCCAGGTGGTGCTGGGCCAACAGATGAGCTGTGCATATTTGATATCTGCTTTTAATGAGCAAACAGAATACACTTTAGTGACCCCAAAGAATGTTTCAAGAAACTGAAGCCAGTATACCTCAGGGATATTGTGGGTTTGGTTCCAGACCACTACAGTAAAGCGAATACTGCAATAAAGCAAGTCACATGAATATTTTGTTTTCTCAGTGCATATAAAAATTACATTTACAAGATACTGTAGACTGTTAAGTGTGCAATAGCATTATGTGTAAAAAACAATGCACATACCTTAATTAAAAATACTTTATTCCTAGAAAATGCTAAGGTTCATCTGAACCTTCTGTGAGTCCTGATCTTTTTGCTGGCGGAGGGTCTTGCCTCAGTGTGAATGTCTGCTGACTGATCAGAGTGCTGATTGCTCAGGGTTAGGCTGGCTGTGGCAATGTCTTAAAATAAGACAACAATGAAGTTTTCCACATTGTTTGACTCTTCCTTTCAATAAAGATTTCTCTGTAGCATGTGATGCTGTTTGATAGCATTTTACCCACAGTAGAACCTCTTTCAAAATTAGAGTCAATTTGCTCAAACCATGCCACTGCTTAGCAACTGAGTCTGTGAAATATTCTAAATCCTTTATTGTCATTTTAACAATGTTCACAGCATCTTCACCAGGAGTAGATTTCATCTCAAGAGACCAGTTTCTTTGCTCATTCATAAGAAGCAACTCCTCATCTGTTCAGGTTTTCTCATGAGACTGCGGTGATTCAGTCCCATTTTCAGGCTCCACTTCCAGTTCTAGTTTTCTTGCTATTTCCACTACATCTGTGGTGACTTTCTCCACTAAAGCCTTGAGTCCCTCAAAGTCATCCATGAGGGTTGGAATCAACTTCTTCCAAACTCCTGTTAATGTTGTTATTTTGATCTCCTCCAATGAATCGTGAATGTTCTTAATGGCATGTGGAGTTGTGAATTCTTTCCAGAGGTTTTCAATGTACTTTGCCCAGGTTCTTCAGAGGAATCACTATTGATGACTATGGCAGCTATAGCCTCATAAAATGTATTTCCTTTTTTTTTTTGGTTTGAGATAGGGTCTCATTCGGTTGCCCAGGTGGGAGTGCAGTGGTGTGTAATCATGGTTCACTGCAGCCTCGACCTCCTAGGCTGAAGCCATGCGCTCACCTCAGCCTCCCAAGTGGCTGGGACCACAGGAACATGCCTGTGAATAGCGAGGCCTGCTGTCTTTCTCATGCCTGGCTAATTTTTAATTTTTTAAAATAGAGATGGGAGTCTCTGTGTTGCCCAGGCTGGTGTATTTCTTGAATAAGACTTGAAAGTAAAAAAATTACTCCTTGATCCATGGGCTGCAAAATGGATATTGTGTTTACAGGAATTAATCTTCTTGTACATCTCCATCAGAGCTCTTGAGAGACAAGGTGCATCGTCAATGAGCAGTAGTATTTTGAAAGAAATCTTTTCTTCTGAGCAGTAGATCTCAACAGTGGGCTTAAAATATTGAATAAACCATGCTGTAAGCAGATGTGCTGTCATCCAGGCTTTGTTGTTCCATTTACAGAGCACAGGAAGAGTAGACTTAGCATAATTCTTCAGGGCCCTGGGATTTGGGGAATGGTAAATGGCCACTGGCTTCAACTTAAAGTCACCAGCTGGATTAGCCCCTAACATGAGTCAGCCTGTCCTTTGATGCTTTGAAGCCAGGCATTGACTTCTCTTCCCCCACTGTGAAAGTCCTAGATGGCATCTTCTTCTAATAGAAGACTGTTTTGTCTACACCGAAAATCTGTTGTTTAGTGCCGCCACCATCCATGGCCTTTACTAGATCTTCTGGATAACTTACTGCGGCTTCTCCATCAGCAGTCATTGCTTCACCTTGCACTTCTATCTTATGGAGATGGTGTCTTTCCTTAAACTTCGTAAGCCAACCTCTGCTAGTTTCCAGCTTTTCTTCTGCAGCTCCTTCACCTCTCTCAACCTTCATAGACTTGAAGAGAGTTAGGGCCTTGCTCTAGATTGGGCTTTGGCTTAAAGGAATGCTGTGGCTACTTTGATCTTCTATTCAGACCACTAAACCCTTCTCCATATCAGCAAAAAGAAAAGCCTTTTTGCTTTCTTATTCATGTTTTACTGGAGAAGCACTTTTAATTTCCTTCAAGAACTTTTCATTTGCCTTCACAGCTTGGCTAGCTGTTCGGTGTGAGAGGCCTGGCTTTTGGCCTACATCATTTTGCTGTTTCTTCATTAGCTCAAACCCAGAACTGGACCAGACCTAGCCACAAGGAATGCTGGGAAATGTAGTCTCTCCAAGGAATGCTTGGACCAGGACCGACTCCTGGTCAGGGGTTGCAAACCCACCTGCCCTCTGAGATCAGACAGGGAACATAGAACTTTGAAGTGGCTGGGTACAGGAGGAGGCACAGGGGGAGTGGGGGGCAATGCCTGACCTATTGAAGAGCATGGACATAAAAAAGGATTGAGGCACTGCTGAGTGCAGGCAAAGCTGTTTGAGAGCTGGACCCAGCACCCGGCGGGTTGCTCACCAGGTCTGCTTCTGTCAGTGATACTCCGGTTTCCAAACCCCACAGCTTAAATACCCGTGCCTAAAGGAGACATTTCATGAACTGTGGCATGCACGAAGGTGATGGGGACAGCAGCCTCTTAGGGCGTTGGTTAAAGCCAGGTGATCGTTTTCTTGGTGGAAAGCCCTGTAAAGGGGGTCCCTCTAACCAAGGTCTGGGAAAGCAGTGGCTCTTCTAGGAAAGGGTCCCACCCCATGGGCTTCCTCCCATTCCCCTGCCCGCTGGTACCCTGGCACCTCCCCAGCCAGGCTCATTGATCACAGTTACTGGGGCTGACTGTAGCACAGCCCTGGGCAGCTTAGGTGCATGGAAAATGGGGTGGGGCTGTGTGACCACCGAGCTCTGGAGGGGCGTGGGTGGTGCATGGCTCGAGCTGGAGCTTCCTGGGGCAAACAGATGAATGCAGTGAGGCTGAAGGACTTCAGTTTGTGTTAGAATCCCCAGAAAAAAATGCTGTGGGGATGCAGAGGGATCAGGCCTGATGTTTCTTCCTCCCTGGCCAGCTCTGCTTGGGGCCTTCTGCGTGGCATCCTCTGGCCCCCACTTTGAGATATGGGTAAGCACACATGCACACAGAGAAGCACACACATGTGCACAGATGCACACACAGGTGCATACACACCCATACATGGATGCACACACATGCACACAGATGCACACAGGTGCACACACATGAACACCCATGCACACACAGGTGCACACACATGCCCACACAGGTACACAGACACATGCACACACAGGTGCATACATACACACACAGGTGCATACATACACACGGATGCACACACATGGACACAGATGCACACACAGGGGCACACATGCACACACATGCCACAAATGCACACACGTGCACACACATGCACACACAGGTGCACACATGCACGCACACATGCCCACAAATGCACACACAGGTGCACACATGCACACACACATGCACACACAGGTGTGCACACACACAGATACACACAGATGCACGCATATATGCACGTATATCACACAACCCACAAGCAGCAGTG
>NT_187589.1:0-76061 GCF_000001405.40 Homo sapiens | reverse complement strand
TCTCATCCTGACCTGTAAAGGCACAATTTTCATTGAACAACAAACAACTATACCTAAATTCTTAATTTCATTTTCTGTTATGACTTTCCTATGTATATTCAAAATGAGAAACTTTTGCCAAATTTCGTTTTGCAGTTACTTCTCATGCACATAAACATTTTTCTATCCTCTCGCTAACACTTTTCAAATAAACTATTTGCTTAAACTAGAACACAAAACTCCTGTGTTCCACCAAGTGAGCTTTACTGTATTTTCTTATTCTTGAAAATTATTTAAAGCTGCACTCAGAAAAAAAAAAAAATGCAAAAATCCCCAACCTTCCAGAAATTTCTACGGTACTTTTTTCTGTGGCCCCGAGGTAGAGGCAGTCTGGCAGTGACGAACTGGGTTCTTGGGAAAAGTTCTGCTAAATAAAGCTTGTTTGCAGGTATATTGGAAGCTTTTGGGAAAAGAAAGAAAACTACATTGAAAGCCTCATTCATATTAAAAGAAAAAAGATATACTTCTAAACATTTTTAATTTTGAAAAGAAAACCGTTTTATGTGAAGTGCTCTTTCATATGGGTAAAGAAAAAATACCTAGCTATCCCCTGGCTGGCTCCGTGCACCTCCGCGTGCAAGCTCACTGTTGCAGTCGGACTCCAGGCCCTTGTGCTGCCAGCTGGCGCAGCCCCTTCCTGCAGCCCCTCTCATCACAGAGAACTGATGCCTGGGACTACCAAACAGTATATGGAGCTTATGGTAGAACAACAATAACCAAAGTCTCTAAAAAAGAGGATGAATCAAGTGTCAAAGTGAAATTAAGAATACGAAAGAAATCCGACCCTATGTGGAAATACTCCATGGAGCAGGAGGAGCTATGCAGAGAGAGTGCCGAGAAGGCCCAGGTACAGGCTTTCCACCCACATGCATGGTAGGGGCCTTCTCTACCTTTAGAACCTTACCCCAAAGACGTCAATAAGGAATCCGTAAAATACATACAGCAAACACAAAATGCCCAACTTCACTAGCTGAAGAAATAAAAACTAATAATGCAAAATTTTTCTGCTCCAAAGTTACCCAAAAGCCAAATGTGAAACCGCTGATATTGGGGAGGATGGGAGCTCCTGCCGTGGGGGCTGCAGTCTCTATCGTGTGTCTTACGCACTTGGCCAAGTGACTTTCTAAAGCCTTGAACGTGTGTGTTTATGTCCTTTAACTGAATCTCATTTCTAGGAATCCAACTGAAAAGAGATATCTAGGCAAGGATTTAAGAACTAAGAAATGTATCACATTATTATAATAGTGAAAAGTGGTAAATTCACAAAAAAATCCAATACCGGTCTAGTGAAATCATAGCTATTCATCACAGGATTCAACATTCACCAGGTAACTGACACACACACGTGAGGATGGTGACTGGGTCATCACAACATTCAGTATTCACCAGAACTGATGCACCCACGTGATGACGGTGACTGGGTCATCACCACATTCAGTATTCACCAGGTAACTGACGGACACGTGATGACAGTGACCGGGTCATCACAACATTCAGTATTCACCAGGTAACTGACGCACCCACGTGATGACGGTGACTGGGTCATCACAACATTCAATATGCACCAGGTAACTGACGGACACACGTGATGACGGTGACCGGGTCATCACAACATTCAATATTCACCAGGTAACTGACGCACACATGTGATGACGGTGACCGGGTCATCACAACATTCAATACTCACCAGGTAACTGACAGACACACATGATGACGGTGACCGGGTCATCACAACATTCAATACTCACCAGGTAACTGACGGACACACGTGATGACGGTGACCGGGTCATCACAACATTCAATATGCACCAGGTAACTGACGGACACACGTGATGACGGTGACCGGGTCATCACAACATTCAATACTCACCAGGTAACTGACGGACACATGTGATGACGGTGACCGGGTCCTCACAACATTCAATATTCACCAGGTAACTGACGGACACACGTGATGACGGTGACCGGGTCATCACAACATTCAATATTCACCAGGTAACTGACAGACACGTGATGACGGTGACCGGGTCATCACAACATTCAATATTCACCAGGTAACTGACGGACACGTGATGACGGTGACCGGGTCATCACAACATTCAATATTCACCAGGTAACTGACGGACACGTGATGACGGTGACCGGGTCATCACAACATTCAATATTCACCAGGTAACTGACGGACACACGTGATGATGGTGACCGGGTCATCACAATATTCAATATTCAACAGGTAACTGACGGACACACGTGATGATGGTGACTGGGTCATCACAACATTCAATATTCAACAGGTAACTGACGGACACACGTGATGATGGTGACTGGGTCATCACAACATTCAATATTCAACAGGTAACTGACGGACACACGTGATGATGGTGACTGGGTCATCACAACATTCAATATTCAACAGGTAACTGACGGACACACGTGATGACGGTGACTGGGTCATCACAACATTCAATATTCACCAGGTAACTGACGCACACACGTGATGACGGTGACTGAGTCATCACAACATTCAATATTCACCAGGTGACTGATGCACCCACGTGATGACGGTGACTGGGTCATCACAACATTCAATATTCACCAGGTAACTGACGGACACACGTGATGACGGTGACTGGGTCATCACAACACTCAATATTCACCAGGTAACTGACGGACACATGTGATGACGGTGACTGGGTCATCACACCGAATATTCACCAGGTAACTGACACAAACACGTGATGATGGAGACTGGGTCATCACAACATTCAGTATTCATCAGGTAACTGACGCACACATGTGATGACAGTGACCGGGTCATCACAACATTCAATATTCACCAGGTAACTGATGCACACACATGATGACGGTGACTGGGTCATCACAACATTCAATATTCACCAGGTAACTGACACACACACGTGATGACGGTCACCGGGTCATCACAACATTCAATATTCACCAGGTAACTGATGCATCCACATGATGACGGTGACCAGGTCATCACAACATTCAATATTCACCAGGTAACTGACGGACACGTGATGACGGTGACCGGGTCCTCACAACATTCAATATTCACCAGGTAACTGACGGACACGTGATGACGGTGACTGGGTCATCACAACATTCAATATTCACCAGGTAACTGACACACACACGTGATGACGGTCACCGGGTCATCACAACATTCAATATTCACCAGGTAACTGATGCATCCACATGATGACGGTGACCAGGTCATCACAACATTCAATATTCACCAGGTAACTGACGGACACGTGATGACGGTGACCGGGTCCTCACAACATTCAATATTCACCAGGTAACTGACGGACACGTGATGACGGTGACTGGGTCATCACAACATTCAATATTCACCAGGTAACTGACACACACACGTGATGATGGTCACCGGGTCATCACAACATTCAATATTCACCAGGTAACTGATGCATCCACATGATGACGGTGACCAGGTCATCACAACATTCAATATTCACCAGGTAACTGACGGACACGTGATGACGGTGACCGGGTCCTCACAACATTCAATATTCACCAGGTAACTGACGGACACGTGATGACGGTGACCGGGTCCTCACAACATTCAATATTCACCAGGTAACTGACGGACACATGTGATGACGGTGACTGGGTCCTCACAACATTCAATATTCACCAGGTAACTGACGGACACGTGATGACGGTGACTGGGTCATCACAACATTCAATATTCACCAGGTAACTGACGCACACACGTGATGACGGTGACTGAGTCATCACAACATTCAATATTCACCAGGTGACTGATGCACCCACGTGATGACGGTGACTGGGTCATCACAACATTCAGTATTCACCAGGTAACTGACGGACACACGTGATGACGGTGACTGGGTCATCACAACACTCAATATTCACCAGGTAACTGACGGACACATGTGATGACGGTGACTGGGTCATCACACCGAATATTCACCAGGTAACTGACACAAACACGTGATGATGGAGACTGGGTCATCACAATATTCAGTATTCACCAGGTAACTGACGCACACATGTGATGACAGTGACCGGGTCATCACAACATTCAATATTCACCAGGTAACTGATGCACACACATGATGACGGTGACCAGGTCATCACAACATTCAATATTCACCAGGTAACTGACGGACACACGTGATGATGGTGACTGGGTCATCACAACATTCAATATTCACCAGGTAACTGACGGACACGTGATGACGGTGACTGGGTCATCACAACATTCAATATTCACCAGGTAACTGACACACACACGTGATGACGGTCACCGGGTCATCACAACATTCAATATTCACCAGGTAACTGATGCATCCACATGATGACGGTGACCAGGTCATCACAACATTCAATATTCACCAGGTAACTGACGGACACACGTGATGATGGTGACTGGGTCATCACAACATTCAATATTCACCAGGTAACTGACGGACACGTGATGACGGTGACCGGGTCCTCACAACATTCAATATTCACCAGGTAACTGACGGACACATGTGATGACGGTGACTGGGTCCTCACAACATTCAATATTCACCAGGTAACTGACGGACACGTGATGACGGTGACTGGGTCATCACAACATTCAATATTCACCAGGTAACTGACGGACACGTGATGACGGTGACCGGGTCATCACAACATTCAATATTCACCAGGTAACTGACGGACACGTGATGACGGTGACCGGGTCATCACAACATTCAATATTCACCAGGTAACTGACGGACACATGTGATGACGGTGACTGGGTCCTCACAACATTCAATATTCACCAGGTAACTGACGGACACGTGATGACGGTGACTGGGTCATCACAACATTCAATATTCACCAGGTAACTGACGGACACGTGATGACGGTGACCGGGTCATCACAACATTCAATATTCACCAGGTAACTGACGGACACGTGATGACGGTGACCGGGTCCTCACAACATTCAATACTCACCAGGTAACTGACGGACACGTGATGACGGTGACCGGGTCATCACAACATTCAATATTCACCAGGTAACTGACGGACACATGTGATGACGGTGACTGGGTCCTCACAACATTCAATATTCACCAGGTAACTGACGGACACGTGATGACGGTGACTGGGTCATCACAACATTCAATATTCACCAGGTAACTGACGCACACACGTGATGACGGTGACTGAGTCATCACAACATTCAATATTCACCAGGTGACTGATGCACCCACGTGATGACGGTGACTGGGTCATCACAACATTCAGTATTCACCAGGTAACTGACGGACACACGTGATGACGGTGACTGGGTCATCACAACACTCAATATTCACCAGGTAACTGACGGACACATGTGATGACAGTGACTGGGTCATCACACCGAATATTCACCAGGTAACTGACACAAACACGTGATGATGGAGACTGGGTCATCACAACATTCAGTATTCACCAGGTAACTGACGCACACATGTGATGACAGTGACCGGGTCATCACAACATTCAATATTCACCAGGTAACTGATGCACACACATGATGACGGTGACCAGGTCATCACAACATTCAATATTCACCAGGTAACTGACGGACACACGTGATGACGGTGACTGGGTCATCACAACATTCAATATTCACCAGGTAACTGACGGACACGTGATGACGGTGACTGGGTCATCACAACATTCAATATTCACCAGGTAACTGACGGACACGTGATGACGGTGACTGGGTCATCACAACATTCAATATTCACCAGGTAACTGACAGACACGTGATGACGGTGACCGGGTCATCACAACATTCAATATTCACCAGGTAACTGACGGACACATGTGATGACGGTGACTGGGTCCTCACAACATTCAATATTCACCAGGTAACTGACGGACACGTGATGACGGTGACTGGGTCATCACAACATTCAATATTCAACAGGTAACTGACGGACACATGATGATGGTGACTGGGTCATCACATTGAATATTCACCAGGTAACTGACACAAACACTTGATGACGGTGACCAGGTCATCTCAACATTCAGTATTCACCAGGTAACTGACGGACACATGTGATGATGGCAACCGGGCCATCACAACATTCAGTATTCACCAGTTAACTGACGGACACGTGATGACGGTGACTGGGTCATCACAACACTCAATATTCAACAGGTAACTGACGCACCCACGTGATGACGGTGACTGGGTCATCACAACATTCAATATTCACCAGTTAACTGACAGACACACGTGATGACGGTGACCGGGTCATCACAACATTCAATATTCACCAGGTAACTGATGGACACACGTGATGACGGTGACCGGGTCATCACAACATTCAATATTTACCAGGTAACTGACGGACACATGATGACGGTGACCGGGTCATCACAACATTCAATATTCACCAGGTAACTGACGGACATGTGATGACGGTGACCGGGTCATCACAACATTCAATATTCACCAGGTAACTGACGGACACGTGATGACGGTGACCGGGTCATCACAACGTTCAATATTCACTGGGTAACTGATGCATCCACGTGATGACGGTGACCGGGTCATCACAACATTCAATATTCACCAGGTAACTGACGCACACACGTGATGACGGTGACTGGGTCATCACAACATTCAATATTCACCAGGTAACTGACGGACACATGATGACGGTGACCGGGTCATCACAACGTTCAATATTCACCAGGTAACTGACGGACATGTGATGACGGTGACCGGGTCATCACAACGTTCAATATTCACCAGGTAACTGACGCACACACGTGATGACGGTGACTGGGTCATCACAACATTCAATATTCACCAGGTAACTGACGGACACGTGATGACGGTGACCGGGTCATCACAACGTTCAATATTCACCAGGTAACTGACGGACACGTGATGACGGTGACCGGGTCATCACAACGTTCAATATTCACCAGGTAACTGACGCACACACATGATGACGGTGACCGGGTCATCACAACATTCAATATTCACTGGGTAACTGATGCATCCACGTGATGACGGTGACCGGGTCATCACAACATTCAATATTCACCAGGTAACTGACGCACACACGTGATGACGGTGACTGGGTCATCACAACATTCAGTATTCACCAGGTAACTGATGGACACACGTGATGACAGTGACCGGGTCATCACATTGAATATTCACCAGGTCACTGACGCACGCATGTGAGGACGGTGACTAGGGGGAAAGGCTCTCGTGGTCACAGGCCCTTATCAGGAGCAGCATCTCTGTTAAGGTTCAAGGACCCCTTACGCATGCCCCATGGGTGTCGCAGGTGGCCTGTCTGCATCCTCACCCCTCTCTGGCCCTTCTCCATTTTCTCTGACACTCAGACCCTCTCTGCTGGCTTGGCCTCATCTACCACAGCTGGTGTCTGCCTCCAGCCTCCCTACCATTCTGCTGGGGTCTTTGCCTCCAGCCTCGTGACCATTCCGCACTTCACAATCCCTATTCCATTTAGTTACCAGAAGAAGAAGACACATGTAAGTAACCATACAAATTGAAAATAATAAAGCTTTTTTCTAGTCCCTTCTTAAAAGACTTCTCTGGGGATAGAGTAGGAGGAAAAGGGACGGGGGAGGAAAGGGTTAAACAACAATGCTGCCTTCTGATAGCATTTGATGAGCAGTCACCAAAACAGCTGCCTCTAATTTTCCAATAAAATCCTTGTAGAGACGGCTGGACTTGCGTCAGATTTGGGGCGTAATCTCCACACACTGTGAGGGAAAAGGAGAGAGAGCACGGCCCCAGCGAGAATTTCCAGCGCTGTCTCACCCGCGTTGTTCCTGAAGACATTGTTTCCGAAGCGGAGACGGTGAGAAGGCAGGCGGCCTCACCTTGGCGAGAAGCCGGGGCTCAGCAGCCCTTCCTCTTCCTCAGGCCCATGTGCTGCTGGTTGTCCCTCATCCAAATCAGCAACTCCTGAGGAACTTAGTAGGAAGCAGGGAGAGAACAGTGAGACGCCCACAGCCATTCTAGGGACACAGCCCTGGAGTGCGATCCACACGACAGAAGAGGGGAAAGAGGGCGAGGGCCCCGGGGACAGCACCTGCTGGGACTCTGATTTTCCATATGTGCCAGTGCACAGAGAACTATGTGGGGAAGGCAGGAGGCTTCAAAGCAGTGAGACAGGGACCAGGTAAGTTGTGCAGGCACCGGTCCTGGAGAAGAAGCTGCCCAGCAGGTGAGAGACAACGACCAGGCCAAGCCAGCCCACCGTCTAGCCCAGTGATGGGTGGGCCGCATACAGCCCTCACCTGTTTGAGAGGAGAGAAAGAAAACAACAAAAAGAAAGGGTGAAAGGGAGGGAGGGGAAGAGGAGCAGAAAGAGAGGGAACAAACCAAACAAGGTCTATGACAAATGACTTCAGAGTAAGGGGTAGGAAACAAGACATGAGATCCTTGAGTCAGAGACAGAAGATGTGGTCAGAAGCAAAAAGAGTATAACTGGTACCCATTGCCCAAGCTCTAATTCCAAAGGAGCAAAGTGAACGGGACCAGTGATGCCACACACACACAGGTGGCTGAATTGGAGCAGGGGAAACCTGGGCTGAGGGACCCCGGAGTCCTTTATAATGGGCAGTAACCTTGTCTGACTTTTGCCCTGAAGCAAGATATTATTTTTATGACGCTGGCCTGTAAGCATGCCTGCCCTCTGCTCTGAAGGGAGACACCATCTCTACCTTCTGGGGCAGTCTGCTGTACAAACAACCTCACAAACATCATCTGGACAAAGGTAGTCAGTACTGCTTCTCACCAGACAGGTAGAAACACAAGACAGTGGACCACTGTCTCACAGCACTATTTTCAAATGTATTACATTCCAAAACCTGGAAATGAAGACATCAGAAAAGATTAAAATACCTATTCTATCTGCAGTACTAAGAGTACGAAGCTGAGTAACAGAAAAAAACTTGTTATAAAACTAAAATACTAATCACAGTGCTGATTAGATTGAACAATACACCAGAAAATCACAACTAAGCTTGGTTACTATTTTTTAAAAACTTGGGGTTCATGTTAGGAGCTCTGGTTTCCAACAACATGGTAAATTAACCCTGGCTACTAAGTGGAAGTTAAATTATCAAATGGCACTAACTTAGAAATTTTATAAAATACACTTCTAAAGAACTCGTGTATCAGCTATAGAGAGAGAGAGCTGGATTACAATGAAAGCACGACAAGCTTGCAGGATGCAGGGAAAGCAATGCTTCAAGGGAAATTTATAACTTTATACGAGAAAAGACACACTAATGAACTTAAGATGTTAGATAGGAAGAAAAGATAACTGAAGAAAAGAGATAAAGAGTAGAAGCCAGTGACACAGAAAACAACAATACGAAGTTGATGTGAACTAACTTTGAACTAGACTAAAGGAAATACAGCTGGAAAGGCTGATCACAACAAACAGAAGATGTTAATAATACTTTTAAATTAAAAAGAACATAATCATACAGCCGATTTTATAAAGATGAAGTATTATCAACTCTCTATTAATAAATTAGAAAACCCAGAAAAAAATAGACAAATGCCTGGAAAAAGTGTAAAATAATGACACTGATTAATAAAAAATTGAAAGCTTAAAAAAATGATAAGTACAAATGAAACCAAAGTAATAGTTAAATTTTTTTCCATAAGAAAAACTTCAGGCCTAGAGAGTTTAACAAAAAGAATCCTACCAAATACTCAGATCACCCCAATCTTATATAAACCCTTCCAAAAAATAAAAAGACAACACCCTTCAAGACATTTTAAGAGAAGTGTATACCTGGATACAAAACCAAAGATAGTAAGGAAATGAAAAAATTATAAGCCCATTTCATCATGAATATAAGTGTAAACACTCTAAACAAAATGTTAGCAAACAAAAGCCAATGGTATATTTAAAAAAAAGAACCAAGTTAGTTTATCTCAGGAATGCAAGAATGATTGAATCTGAGAAAATCTTAAACTAACATGAACTATGTTAACAGAATAAAAGATAAAAACCATATTATCATCTCAATAGATATAGAAAAACTAAAAAAACTCAACAGAAATGCCTTTGAAAGCTCTTAGAAAGCTATGAATAAATTGTTAACCTGGTAAAAGGTGTTTATAAAAATCCTATAATGGATGTAATCTTAAATGGAGAAAATTTAATAAAGTGAAAGCATAAAGATTGGAAAGAAGAAAACAGAATTATCATTGTTTGCAGAGGATACAACTGCCTACATAGAAAACACAAAATACTACAGGCAAATCATTAGAAATAAAAGTGTATTAAAGCAGCTAGATGTAAGATCAATATTAAAAAGCTCAATTACATATACTTGTAAAAATTAGAAAATATAATCCTTAAAACATTTACAATGGCAACTCTAAAAGCACTTAGGAATAAATCAAACAAAAATGTACAATATCAGTACACAGAAAATTATGAAACTTTATGATGAAAGACATTTTAAAACTCAAGTAAATGGGATAATAAGCCATTTGGAGGATGGTAAAACCTAAAATCGTAAAGATTGTTTACTCTCCCTACATATTCCTATTGATTCTATGCAATTTAATAAAATCTTAAACTTTTCATGAATGTTACAAATATATTCTAAAATCCATTTGGAATCATAAAGGAAAGTGTCCTACCAGACATCAGGATGTAGGTAAGTATAGTAATTAAAACAATGGGATGCTGATACTGGGATAGATCAACTAACTGATCAATGACAAATGGCCCTTCACATTTATGGGGCTGTGATGTGTGAGTGAGGTTTAAATGGAAGATCAGTGGAAAAAAAGAAGCCAGGCAAGGTGGTGCATGCCTGGAGTCCCAGCTACTCGGGAGGCTGAGGCAGGAGGATCACCTGAGCCCAGGAGTTTGAGGCTGCAGCAAACTATGATTGTGCCATTGCAGTTCAGCCTGGGTGACAGAGAGAGACTCAAAAAGAAAAACCAAAACGAAAAGAAGACATTCTTCAGGAAAGGGACATGGAGGTGGAAAACGACTATGCATTCCATATGGAGAAAAGGGAAATTGTTCCCTTATTTTAGACCATGCAAAAATCAACTCGCTCTACTCTAGAGATTTAAAGTTATAAACTTCTAGGAAAATACAGATGAACATATTTCTGACTTTGGGTTAGAGCAAAAGTTTTAAAACACAGAAAACTCTGTCTATAAAAGAAAAACTGGCAAATTTGGACAAGGATATGCTGTAAATTTTATTAAGTTCAAAACCAACTAAAAATAAATAGTAATTAATACTGACCCATGTACATTTGTTAAAACTTTTTCAACAGGCAAGGGAATGATAATTTCAACAGCATCCACTTTGGCAGCATAGAGGTCAGGAGACAGGAAGGGGTGGTGTGCATGGGTGAATGGAGACAGGAAGGGGGTGGTGTGCATGGGTGAATGGAGACAGGAAGGGGTGGTGTGCATGGGTGAATGGAGACAGGAAGGGGTAGTGTGCATGGGTGAATGGAGACAGGAAGGGGGTAGTGTGCATGGGTGAATGGAGACAGGAAGTGGTGGTGTGCATGGGTGAATGGAGACAGGAAGGGGGTGGTGTGCATGGGTGAATGGAGACAGGAAGGGGTGGTGTGCATGGGTGAATGGAGACAGGAAGGGGTGGTGTGCATGGGTGAATGGAGACAGGAAGGGGTAGTGTGCATGGGTGAATGGAGACAGGAAGGGGGTAGTGTGCATGGGTGAATGGAGACAGGAAGGGGTGGTGTGCATGGGTGAATGGAGACAGGAAGGGGTGGTGTGCATGGGTGAATGGAGACAGGAAGGGGTGGTGTGCATGGGTGAATGGAGACAGGAAGGGGGTGGTGTGCATGGGTGAATGGAGACAGGAAGGGGTGGTGTGCATGGGTGAATGGAGACAGGAAGGGGTGGTGTGCATGGGTGAATGGAGACAGGAAGGGGTGGTGTGCATGGGTGAATGGAGACAGGAAGGGGGTGGTGTGCATGGGTGAATGGAGACAGGAAGGGGGTGGTGTGCATGGGTGAATGGAGACAGGAAGGGGGTGGTGTGCATGGGTGAATGGAGACAGGAAGGGGGTGGTGTGCATGGGTGAATGGAGACAGGAAGGGGGTGGTGTGCATGGGTGAATGGAGACAGGAAGGGGGTGGTGTGCATGGGTGAATGGAGACAGGAAGGGGTGGTGTGCATGGGTGAATGGAGACAGGAAGGGGTGGTGTGCATGGGTGAATGCAGACAGGAAGGGGGTAGTGTGCATGGGTGAATGGAGACAGGAAGGGGTAGTGTGCATGGGTGAATGGAGACAGGAAGGGGTAGTGTGCATGGGTGAATGGAGACAGGAAGGGGTGGTGTGCATGGGTGAACGGTGGCTATTGCCATGGTTTAGTTCCAGGATTGGGAGATGGGCTCAAGGGGGCTTATTATTAAGGATAATTATTTCCTTATTATCATTTCCTTATTAATAAGGAAAATAAAAGATATGCAGGGGTCAATGATAAACTCTTGTAAAACAAGGATTATGACAGCTCCAATTCTGAGCATCTGAGCCTTTCTAAAAGTAAAAATGAAAAAAGAAACAAACGATCTACTTATTCCTGTCTTAACTTCTCCCATGGCATCCAAATAAGAGGATCAGAGACAAAGTCTGAAGCCAACCACAACATTCCCAAACCACAGCATGTGTGGTACTGATGGCGGTGGGTTAGGTCTTTGGACAGACCTGCACAGGGAGATTCAGAAGAACATGCAGCAAGGAGCTTCAGAAAGTTTCATTTGAAAAACAGACATCTATTAAGATAGACAAGTAAAGGACTGATATGTTTTTAAGGCCAGATTTGCAACTTAAATATCATTTCAGTCACCTGGTAAAAAGAGCATGACTTTTGATAGGCATAAATTTAAAATTGGAGGGAAGGGAGGAGAAGTAACATTTTTCAACAGCTTTAATACCCAGTTTCTGAATTTTTGGGACATCACTGTATCCAGAAAGCCCCGAGCCACAGATTTCAGTGCAAATGTCAAATAACAAACATGTCTGTTTTGCCTTAAAATCTCAAGACACTCCTCAAACTGATCCGGAAAGCTGAAATAATAAGTTCTTATCATCTCTGAATGTGCATGCAACTGCCCTGAGGTGTGGAACATGAGAACTTCGCAGCCAATGAAACATCTATAAGCCGTTCACATAGACGCATCTTCAGGAAAACAGGTTAAACTGCATCATGTATTAAAGCAGTACTTACATTAAGTTAAAAATATATTTGAGTGGGTGTTTTGTTTCACAGTTAAGTAGGTAACTATGTTAAAGAGTTACTAAAATCAGGCATTTGATGAACGAAAGCAGCACAGCAAATGAACTGGAGCAAAGTCTAAAAAACCCACGTAAGGATGTTATGAAATAATGATTTCAACAGTAGCTCATGATAATGTTTCAACAATGAAGAAAGTACTTTAAAAGACAATTTTGAATTACACAAAACACTTTAAATTCCATCCAATTACAAGCTTTAAGAAAGCTTCTGAAAATAAATCTGCAGCACTGTGGACAGGCTGGTAAAGTGGGCAGAAATATATTAACATTCTTTCTCATCACCAAGCCAACTAACTACACACTTCATTATCTATGGAAATGAAAACTAATAGTTCATCAAAAGCAAAGACTAACAGCCCTGCAGTATAAAAATCATAATAGTGTATTATGGTGAGCGTGGAAGAGGGAGAGAAAATGCACAGCAATTTTACCGAAAAAGAGATGTTGTGTTTATTGTTTCGGGGAATTTTCTCTAAAATATCTTTCCCTTCTCCAAAATATTTCAAATACAAAAACTGGAAAATGAAACTGATAATAAAACAAAGAGTTATTTACTTTTGTTTTATTCTTCAAGATGAGCAACTGTTAGATTTTTTATTTTTAAAAAAAGTCATCTTTTTATTTTTTAAAAAGGTCATCTATTTAGGGTCTCCCCTCAGGAAGATAACATGTTGGGAGGCATTAGAGGACAAAGGTGGACAAGACTCTGTTGGTTTTCTATGACCAAGGTTTGTTTTAAAAGATGAAAACATACAATAGTTTGAGTATCTGTCCTTTCATGGCCAAGCTTGTATAAAACCACGATGCACCCCAGCAGCTCTTCTGGAAACATGCTGGGCATCCCAGGAAACACTTCATATGGTAATCAATAAAGCTCCTGACTTTGGACTTCAAGAGGTGCCATTCAACGTATGTCATTAACATGTTCTTGTTGCTTTATGGGTGAACATCATTTTGTACCATTTGAAGCAGCATTCACCCGTGCCTATGTGCTGGTACTCAGCGTCCTTATCTGGCATGTATTCAGAGCAATCCTGATGATCTCAACTCACTGGCAACAGACATCAGTTAAAGCTAGGCCAGTGCCTAACTTCTCTTAAAACCTGGACAAACTGAAAAACTGAACCAGATTTCATTAATTATAAATTTATTGCTTATTCTTCCCAAAATGAGTTTTCCTGAACATAATGGAAATGGCCATTTCAACAAAACAAAGTGCTGAAAGGATAGCAGTTAATGTACATGCCACACACACATCTGTTTGAGGGTTACTGTCTTCATTCGCTTATGTATCAACTGGATTATACTGTAAGTCTAATAACGTTCACCAAAGAGACATTTATAAAAGGGAAAATAAAAATCAGGAACAACCAAAATTTCTAGCAGTGGAGGAACACTAAACAGAGTATGGAAGATTTGTAGTTTGGAAGACTATGCACTCATTAAAAGAAGAGACATGTCAAGACACAAAAGATGTTCATGATAATTTTATATGAAACAGCAAGTTATAAAATAGTATGATCAAGTTTCTGTAAACACAAAAATATACATCTATAGAATAAAACAAAAGGGGTCAAAAGAATGCTGTTTCTGCAGAATGACAGAGATTTGTGTTTTATTTTGCATTTGTATTTCCAGAAATTTCTACAGTGAAACATAACTTCTGTAATAAGCACATGTTAAAGCAAATATGCCTCACCACAGGCTAAATGCTTTAACAAAAATTACGTAAAATTTGAAAACCACACGATAGGTTTCTAAGAACCAGCCAGGGGCTGGTCTATTTAGCACTTGATGCCTCTATAATTTTTGTCTTGGGTACGTGCATTTAAAAAGCGCCCCAATCTGGAGTGGGAGGTGGGGAGCTGCTGAGGCTCACATACTCTTTGGGCCGCGCTATCACTAGGAAATCTGGAGAAGATCCCTGACTGCAAGAAGCCCCATCATTATATTAGAGGGAAGTCAGAGACATTTTACCTTGGCTTTCCTGTAGGCAGATCATAGCACTTCAAGTTCTACCACAAAGATACAGCTATTCGATCCCCAGGAAATCCAAGTGGGGGCTCTGGTTTGCTGTTGGAACTCCTAGTCACTGACCCTGATTCCTTGTCTCAGGAGTAAAGCTGCCTCCGATTCTCATAGGGAACACGTCTCCTCAATTTGTATTCTAAGCCAGCTACTGCCTGCAGGCCCTGGTCAAATTAACTTGTCCCTCATGAAATAGCCTCACCCTGGGCATATCCTCCTGGTGGAACGCAATTTGTACAAGAAAAATGCAAATCTATTTATGCATCTCCAATTCAATAAAAACTGGAAGACTTACTATGGGTTAATTCAATTAAGAATTTTTCACACTGGACAATGGTAAAGACTTGATATATAAAAGCTGCACAGTCTGGAACTGATAAAGCTTGCAATCTATCTTGTTGAGTAATCATGGAAAGGAGAATTTTGTTTACACCTAAGTTGAGAAACAAAGTTCCTAAAATGCACTTAAACAAATATTTAACCTAACCAAACATGTGTAAACTTTCTTACTATTTCAGCTTTCCAAAACACTGTACTACTAAAATTGGTTTTAAAAATAAAAGCATACTTAACTTGGGCTTTCTGTAGTATTATTTGACTGAAACTATGTAGAGTTTAAGGCAAAAATTCAACCCAGGTTTTGGCCAATATAACAACAATTAAACAGTATAAACCTTGGGGTGGGGGGAAATGAGGTAAAGGGGAGAGAAGAGGAAGACATTGAAGCTCATTAGCCTCAGCACTACAGAAATTATGAAGACACCTGATTTTATCAATGATTTACTGAGAATTCCTGAAAAGCCTAACAAAGTTATTACTCAGAAAATCATTTTGCTTGTCAATGTGGCAGTTTGCAAATGGAGAGAATGGGGTTAAAGTGACGACAAATCCATTTGGCCAGCAAGTGGCTCTGGAGCACTCACATCAGAAACTGCCGTGGGCACAGGCTCAGACCACGGCGGCCCAGGCCCCTAAGCAGCATGGTGGTCAGGAAGAGGGTCAGGGAATTTTTGTTGAAGTATTTAGCCTGCAGAGGCAGCAATGAGGAGAACTCAGTGGTTCACAGGTCCAGGCCTACCAGACCCGGGAGGCAGCTAGAAGACTCCGGGGCACAACACACACCTTAGGAGCTGCAAGTGGATTCATAGGGTTGGGACCCAAGGTCCACATGGGAAGTGACCACTGAAGATATAGGTTGATCCAGATCAGGAAGGGCCTCGTGGCCCCTGCTAACAAATTTTAATTCTCCAAAGGCAGTAACTTTACCCAAACATCAAACACCTCCATTCTACCTTCAATTGCTCCCATAACTAAGTGCCACCTAACCTGTTTTTTAAAAAGAGGATTCAATATATTTGCAAAAGACCTATCTGATAAAGGATTGTTATCTAAAATATGCAAAGAACTCTTACAACTCAACAATGAGACAACAGCCTGATTAAAAAAGGGGCCAAAAACCTTAACAGGTACCTTAGCACAGAAGACACACAGATGGCAAGTGTGCATAGGAAAATATGTTCCATACCACATGTCCTCAGGGCATTGCAAAGTAAAATGACAATATGACACCATTACACACCTATCAGAATGGCCAAAACCCACAATGACAATAGCAAACGCTGGGAAAGACGTGAATTAACAGGAACTCTCATTTGTTAGTGATGGGAATGCAAAATGGTACGCCATTCTAAAAGACAGGCAGTTTCTTACAAAACTAAACATAGTCTTACCTTACGAAGCACACTGCTTGGTATTTACCCAAAGGAGTTGAAAAGGTGTATCCATACAAGAACCCGCACAGAGATGTTTATGGCAGTTTTATTCATATTTGCCAAAACTTGGAAGCAATCAAGATGACTCCTTCAAGCAAGTGAATGGATACATGTACTGGTACATTCAAATAATGGAATATTAGTCAGTGCTAAAAAGAAATGAGCCACAAAGACACGGAGGAATCTTAAATGCATATTACTGAGAGAGAGAAGCCAACCTGAGAAAGTTACATACCGTGTGATTCAGAATGTATGACATCTGGAAAAGGCAAAACTATGGAGACAGTGAAAACATGAGTGGTTACAACGGGTTGGAGGGGAGGGAGAAATGAACAGGCACAGCACAGGGAGGTGTTAGGGCCATGAAAGGACTCTGTGTCGTCCCATGATGGTGGACACATACATTATACATCCGTCCAAATCCACAGACTGTTCATAAAAGGACTGTTATCCAAAATACGCAAAGGGAAGGGCACAGGCAATCTCTCAAACTTGACGGTAGATACAGGAGTGAACCCTCATGTGAACTGTGGACTTGGGGCAATCATGATGTCACTGTAGGTTCATCAAGTGTAACAAGGGAACCACTCTGGGGGGTGGGATATGTTGATATGGGGGAGGCTGGGCCTGTGTGGGTGAGGGGAACACATAGGAATTCTACCTTCTACTCAATTTAACTGTGAGCCTAAAGCTCCTCTAAAAAATAAAGTCTAGTAAAAAAAAGAAGACTCATTGGACTTGCTTCTTAGTTCTACCTAGGGCCTACTTTGTTTGGCTTTGTTAAAATCAAATGATGAGCAAATGGAGGTGCCAGACACCCCAACAACAAGAGAGACTTTCTCCTGCACATAATCAACAGTAACATAATTGAAAGAAAAGAAGTTCCTCAACACATGATTCTGTGTTACTTAAGGCCCTTTTATCTTGAGTACTACTTTCAATCATCTTCCACTTTTTGGGGAAGACAACCCAGGGCAACTGGAATTTGGACAAGTATAAAAAAGCTATGTGACATAAGAAATCAGCTAACAACATGCCTTCAAATCAGTCAGACAAATACGGTGTCATCCTTAAATGTAAAATCATCTACAGTTTCTCCTTACTCAACCTACTCAATTTTTTCAAAGGATAAGGGATATTCCACAGAGTTCTTTGCCTTTCCCCTCCACCCCGACACCTTAGTGGTCCTCTTGGTTTCAGAGGCTCAGCAATTTCCCCTTCTTTACTTCTAGGCAGGATGAAACCAGGTTCATGACATTGGTCTTTTTTTCCAGTTTGAAATTAGTAGTAAAAATACAAAAGTAAAAAAAAGTTGGGGGGTGGGGGGAGAGGTTGCTAGAATATATGCAAACCAAACAATGGTTACTGCTTGGATGGGAACTGGGATGAGGGAGTTGAAGGAATTGTCAATGCTTGGATGGGAATTGGGATGAGGGAGTTGAAGGAACTGTCAATGCTTGGATGGGAATTGGGATGAGGGAGTTGAAGGAACTGTCAATGCTTGGATGGGAATTGGGATGAGGGAGTTGAAGGAACTGTCAATGCTTGGATGGCAACTGGGATGAGGGAGTTGAAGGAACTGTCAATGCTTGCATGGGCAACTGTGATGAGGGAGTTGAGGGAACTGTCAATGCTTGGATGGGAACTGGGATGAGGGAGTTGAAGGAACTGTCAATGCTTGGATGGGACTTGGGATGAGGGAGTTGAAGGAACTGTCAATGCTTGGATGGGAATTGGGATGAGGGAGTTGAAGGAACTGTCAATGCTTGGATGGGAAGTGGGATGAGGGAGTTGAAGGAACTGTCAATGCTTGGATGGGAACTGGGATGAGGGAGTTGAAGGAACTGTCAATGCTTGGATGGGAACTGGGATGAGGGAGTTGAAGGAACTGTCAATGCTTGGATGGGAACTGGGATGAGGGAGTTGAAGGAACTGTCAATGCTTGGATGGGAACTGGGATGAGGGAGTTGAAGGAACTGTCAATGCTTGGATGGGAACTGGGATGAGGGAGTTGAAGGAACTGTCAATGCTTGGATGGGAACTGGGATGAGGGAGTTGAAGGAACTGTCAATGCTTGGATGGGAACTGGGATGAGGGAGTTGAAGGAACTGTCAATGCTTGGATGGGAACTGGGATGAGGGAGTTGAAGGAACTGTCAATGCTTGGATGGGAACTGGGATGAGGGATTTGAAGGAACTGTCAATGTTTGGATGGGAACTGGGATGAGGGAGTTGAAGGAACTGTCAATGCTTGGATGGGAACTGGGATGAGGGAGTTGAAGGAACTGTCAATGCTTGGATGGGAACTGGGATGAGGGAGTTGAAGGAACTGTCAATGCTTGGATGGGAACTGGGATGAGGGAGTTGAAGGAACTGTCAATGCTTGGATGGGAACTGGGATGAGGGAGTTGAAGGAACTGTCAATGCTTGGATGGGAACTGGGATGAGGGAGTTGAAGGAACTGTCAATGCTTGGATGGGAACTGGGATGAGGGAGTTGAAGGAACTGTCAATGCTTGGATGGGAACTGGGATGAGGGAGTTGAAGGAACTGTCAATGCTTGGATGGGAATTGGGATGAGGGAGTTGAAGGAACTGTCAAGGAAGCATTTAGGTTTATTCAATGTGGTTTGAATTTCAATAAGAAAAAAATTTGTACAAGTCTTTTATTTGACAAATGTGTGAGTGTCTGCTATGTGCCAAATAAATTTTAAAAGAATGAAGAAAAAAGGCATTATTTATAGATACCAGTACCAGGTACAAATGAAGTCAACTGCCAAACTTACATTAAAGTAAGTCTATCTCACCCTACAGCGAATTAAACAGCTAAGGAAGATACTTTTTTCCAAATACTATTCCAAATATTATTTAGTAAACACTGCAAGTCAGAATACAAATCAAGAACTTTGGCAGCCTTTTTTGACAATTACATTTTCAACCATGCATGAAGCACATCGAAGAGTAGGAAGTGTTAAGTCCTCACCAGATGGTTCTCCCCCATCAGTGGACTTTGAAATCCAGTTGTACAAACATCTTCTCTTTGAATGATACTTAAGAAAGCAAAACAGCAAGCCAGAAACTGGAAGGAAATATTCACAGTGCATGTCTACAACAAAAGATTTGTATCCAGAATACATGAACAACTTTTACAACTCAATAAAATACTTTTAAAATGTGCAAGAGATTTGAACAGACATTTCATAAAAGAAGATGTAAGAACGGCCAACATGTAAACAAAAAGATGCTCAGCAACATTACTTACCAGGGAAATGCAAACAATAACCAAAATAAGGTAAGATTACATACCCACAAGATTACTAAAATTAAAAAGGCATCATCAAATACTGGTGAGGATGTGGAGCAATGAAATCTCACGCATTGTAAAAAAAAAAGGGAAAAGGGCATAAATACTTAGAAGACAGCTTGTTAGCTTTTCATGAAGTTGCAGACATGCTTCCCATATAAATCCAGCAATTCCACATCTATGTATCCGCCAGAGAAATGAAAACATACATCCCCACACAAAATCCTCAACAGTGTTTTTCATGGTAGTCTACTATACTAGCCAAAGATTGGAAACATCCAAAACACCCACTGATTGATGATGAATAAACAAATGGTGAACTCATCACGCGGTCGAATACCACCCAGCAAACAACCCACTTACACAGATACACAGACTCTGCTTTAAAACACCAGGCAGACCAAAAGAAGCCAGACACAAGAGTGCATGCTACCCGGTTCTCCAGGTGAGATTCCAGAGGCAGGTCACTGCTGCATCTGGTCCCGGTGGGGAGGACTGCTTGCAAAGAGGCAAGAAGGAACCTTTGTGGGAGGAAGGGTATAGGCATTCTCTAAAGCTTGATGGTGGCAGTAGATCCAGAGGTATAGACATTTGTCCAAACTCATTACACTGTATTCATTTACTTTATGTAAATAAACTAGACCTCAGTTCAGTTGATTTAAATCAGAAGCAATGGCATGTAAGTTGGGTCAGGGAGAATAGCATTAAAGTGTTTAAAGATTCTTGCGCTGTCCAGAAAGAAGGTACATGTACTACTCCCGCTCTCCACTTCACAGGGCCTGGGACCAAATGGGAAGGGTTGGCCTCCGATGGAAGGTGAAAGCGAGCAAATCACGAGGCCAGATGCAGCCCCCAGGCCCCAGACCAAGGGCAAAGTGCCCGCTTGTGCTAAGGTACCTCAGGCCCTGCCACAGCTGAGGCCACAGGGCCACACCAAAGGGCTCCTTTCGTGCCTCCAGATCACACCCTGGCATTGCATTTATGCCACATGGGTGGGGACATGGCCAGGATGGACTGGACCTACTCCTCCAGGCACCCATGAAGAAAACCACCCAATGCCAGCAGAGCATCTGGTGTTCAGATACAGCCGGAAGCTGAGATTTAGAATCCAGGTTTCTCAAAAGCCGGGTTGCTTTTTCGCCTGTCTGGACGGCCCCACCTCTCTGCCTGGTGTAACTTACTTCCCAGGGGAGATTTCTAACATATCCACGTCCAGGTCTCCAGCTGAGATTGTTCCGTGAACTGCGTGCGCACCGACATTAGGGGTTGCTAGAGCTCCCTGGTGACCGCCATGTGCACCCAAGGATCAAGGACCACTGTTGGGGCAGAGCCCTTCAACTTTAACATGCCCAGGAAATACTAGGGGCTGTTTTTCTGAATTATGGGCGGCACTAGTTATTCACCTATCCGTTCAATAAATATTTGAGAACCTGCTATACACTGGGGATCATCGAAACTGGGAAGACAAAAGTGAACAAAACACTCAAGAATCCTGGCCCTCATGGGCTCAGCATCTAGCGGGAGATGAGTAAGAGAAAAGGTAAGCTGGGCACTACACTAGCTAATGATACCAGTGAAGCTGGGGAGGAGAGGCGAAGGGTAGGTGTCTAGGCTGCACGCTCACAGGGGGTGGTCACAGAGGGCTTCCCTGTGCTGGTGCCATTTCAGCCCAGACCTGAAGGAACACACGGGAACTTGGGCTCCGAGCACAGCAGGCAGAGGAAACCAGGCAGAGGCCCTAAGGCAGGAGGAGAACCGAGTCTCCTGTGAGCAGCTGGGATGACACAACATGGGAACCTGGCAACGACTCTGTGTTCCTGAGATGGGGATCCATAGTGGGACTGTAAGCAGATGTGTGACTTCATCACTGTGACTACTTTGCTGAAAATGGACCAAAGTCGGGGCAAAGGCAAGAGCAGAGACATGGGTTAGGAAGGCTAGGCTGACAGGATTAGTGGACAGGTACTCGTATTTTGAAAGTGAAGCTGATAAACTTCACTGAGGAATCTGAGGTGTGATGTAAGAGATGACTCCAGGATGGCTCCCAGGTTTCTGGCCTGAATGAACATTTGGAAGGATGAAGTCCTGATTTACGGAGCTGGAACAGGGCTTCAAGAAATCACAGTTTAACTTTGAGCATACTGAGACACCAGTTCAACCAGAGGTTGTCAAATGCGGTCTGGAGGCCCCTGGAAATCTCAGACTCCTTTGGAGTTCTGCGAAATCAAAATTATCTGTATGATACTGAGAGGTCACTTTTCCTTTGCACTCTAACGCGCCCTCAGGCATATACAGTGTTTTCCAGAGGCTACACGTCATGTGCTGACAGTATCATTCTGACAATGGAATATGGGCACGCATATTTTTAGATGTTTTAATTTTTAATATGGTAATTATCAACAGATATAATTCACATAAACAAAATCTCTGTGTCCTCAGTAATTGAAGAGTGTCAGGCAGTTCCGAGACCAAGAAGTCTGAGCAGCATTGTGTTGGACAGCCTAAGGGAGACGTCTAGGAGACAGCTGATGATGTGAGTGTGGAGTTCAGGGAGGAAACTGGGCCTGGAGATGTGGTCTGGGAAGCATCTTCATACAAATGAGTCATGGGTGAAATCACCAACAGAGGAAGAGCAGAAAGAAAGGGGATCCTGGCAGAGTCTGAAGGCACATTTAGGCCTTAGAGACAAGAACCAGCAAGAGACTGAGAAGGAACAGTCAGGTGTGGGGAGCCAAGAGAGCATGGCATCGTGGAAGCCAGGCAGAGCATGTTTCCAGGAGAAAGGGGACACCATGCCAGGCGTGCAGCAGGTCTGGCTGGAGGATGGCCAGGAATTGAACAGCTGGCACTGGATTCAAGAGAGGATGGGGAGGAAAGAAGTCCAGACAACACAGGAGTTTTGAGGGAAAGAGAGAAATGGAACAGTAGTTAAGGGTCAATGGGGCCCAAAAGGCTTTTATTTTTTAACATAAAAAAAAAATGACACCAGTTTTGCAAGCTGTTGGGAATGAATAGGAAAAGAAAAATACTAAAGCAGGGAAACAAGGAGAGACGAGATTCCAAAACAACATCCTCCAAAAATGAATGTCTTGTGCCCAAGCAGGTGGGGTGTGCTCTGGCCGAGTGCACAGACCGTGCGTGCCGCCACAACACCGGGCTGCAGAGCAAACGCGGTTCAGGTGGGAGCTTGTGAAGCTCTGCCTGGATTTTTAGCAAAATAGACAGTAGTTGAGAATGAGGATGGAGGTGGTGGTGGTGGTGGTGTAAGGAGACAAGGTATGAAAAACATCAGAGAGCTGTGGAGCCAATGGCTAGACATACATGTATTGACAGCATTAAATACCTGCTTGTGATCATGAATTGAAATACAACAGTTACACAGGGTTGCGTGCTTTTCTCCAGCCGTGTTTATTTGCAAAGGAACAGGCAAGTAGGCAAAAAGCTGGACTTCACCGGTGTGTTTTAGCCAAGAATTAGAAAGAAAGCACCACAGGACAATGTGAGCAAGCCAGGAGCTACCATCTGCAAGGAGGAATCGGAGCTCGGGGAGCATAAAGTGGCAAAGGGAGGGGGAGCGGCTGACATGATCTGATCAAAGTAGATTCAAAGCCGAGTGGTTTCTTTTTTGCGGGGGTCGGGGTGTCTGGAAATATCAGTGAGGAGCAAGAGGGACACCTACCTCACCCTCCAGACCTCGGCAGACGAGAAGTGTAGGAGAGACAACAGCAGCACTGTGAGTGACCCGGGAGAAAGCCGAGTTTGTTAAAGGGAGATGTAAAGAAACCGCCCCTAAGAGGCTGTTGAGAATGAGCTCCAGAGGACACAGGAAAAGTTGAGGAGCAGGGGATGGTGTCAAAAAAGAGACTGCAAAGAGCTCCTCAGAGATGAGCCTGAAATACGAGGGATCACCTGGAGCTTTGGGCTTGTGGGAAGAGCCCAGGGATGGGGCATGCCACTGGTCGTGGGGTTCCCAGGCATGAGAGTGGGAAGGCTGCGATGGACGAGGGCAGAGCGCTGGACTCCGCAGTGCAGAGTTCTAGGTGCCCACTTGAGTTCTGGCAGCACAGGGTGCTTGAAGGGCAGCTTAACTCAGAGTGTAGAGGCCATGGAGCCTCCTTTGAATGGTGGCCTAGAGAGAAGAGTCATCTTACTCCAAGTGCAGGGACTCCCTCCTGACTACTCTTGAAAATTTTACAGTTTCTCTATTGTACACAATGGATTTTTAAAATCATTGGGTAGTAATAATGAAGGTAAAGAAAATTAAACCTAGCTTTTGAAATCTTGTATCTGAATGACAATACCAATTACACAAACTTTAAGCTTTTACTTAGAAATGTACGAAATATCTGAAGACTCGTATCATAGTATCAGAATGAAACTGCTGTTGAAAATACTTTCTATTTGACTCTGAGGAGAGAGCCAGAGCCGTCACTGTGTGTAAGCAGCAGGTTCAGGAGATTACTCCAAAAAACTCCTGTAGGACTTAGGGAATGCGTGTAAAATTGCTAAATAGAATGCTTCAATGAGTGTCACATTTTTGAATTTTGAAGGAAAATGTACCCAGAAAAGAGTGGACAGACTTCCTACAGGCATGCACTTTTGGGGAACCACCCACCAAATCCCTGGGGTTCCTTCAGGAACCACCAGGTAGACTGGTCAGACGAAGCTTTGGGAAGGGAGAGCCTGAGGTCAGTGTGTTTAACACTAAAGCTTTTGGACATCCCACTCAGATACGCACATCCCACGTGAAAGGAGAAACTGGGATTTCACGGAGTCTTTGCTTTGTTCTTTGTGAGTGCGGCAGTGAATTCTCTGACAGTGCTCCGTGTACTCGGTGTGGCTCAGACATCAACCTAGTCTCTGTCGCCGCATGCAACAGGTTTGTCTGATGAAAACCACAGCAGAGGCATAACCAAGACGATGTTAAGGAGACCCCTTTCAACTAGCATTTGCCAAAAGTCCCTGGCAAATCACCTGGGACTTGTTTAATAGACTGTTCACCTGGCCTCTCCCCTGAGAGTCCCGATTCCTAGGTACAGTTTGGAACCCAGTCTGTGTTATCACAAACCCAACCAGGTGATGTCTAACAGATTAGTAAATTTGGGAAGTGTTACCTAGGATGATGACAAAACCAAGCAATACCCTTTTTTGGCTTAAAATAACTTCAGCCAGTTTTCTGTCCCTTTCAACTAAGTCTTTCTTGATATAGTGGGGTCTCTGGACACCTGCAACTTTTCCACAATTATCACATTTACCAATTTTTCACGGTTCTAAAGACATTAAATTCAACTTTCACTTTGAGGCAGAGCTGAGACCTGCTAAGAATGAGCTTTTCATGACTTAACTAACTGACTAGCCACCAAAATCCATAAATAAATTAATATTTTCCAGTCGTATGATTAGACTTCCTTATATTCCTTAATGCTAGGACAACCTTAAGCAACTTCTACCATTGAAATGTTTGTCTCTGGCCTCCTTTTGAAGGTCACACTGTTCTGTGTTTCTTGTCTTCTCATGCTTAGAAATCGAACAGGTTAAGGAACCTGGGCTGCTTGCCCAGAACAATGTTAACAACAATTATTAGCTCTAAGAACTAAAAGGAAAATAAAATGGTTTTCATTCATAATATGTTAATGAGGCTAAATCCAGAATGAGACCGTGTGCCACAAAGGTAAGACAAATGACTTGAGTGATCTGCGTTAGTTTAAATTACGGTTCCAGGGACTTGTGTATTGTCATTAAAGCTTACACTCATCACATTTGTAAGCAATGTTTAAAGGTGTTCCCGGGATTTACAATAATTCATTAATTTTAAGCCTTCTCTTTGCAAACGTTCCTGAGAATTCCTATAAATATGTAGATATAAAAAACTACAATTACCAACTTCACAACACCACAGACTTCTTAGTCTGTGCTTCCTTATAAGCTGTGGATACCCGTTCTTATACTACAAATATTGGAGGTGGCAGCATTTCCTTAAAAAATTTTACTCTGACATTAGAGTTCGTAAGAGACACTAATTGAGCTTTTTTTTTTTTTTTTTTGAGACGGAGTCTCACTCTGTTGCCCAGGCTGGAGTGCAGTGGCGTGATCTCTGCTCACTGCAACCTCCGCCTCTCAGGTTCAAGTGATTCTCCTGCCTCAGCCTCCTGGCACCACATCTGGCTAATTTTGTATTTTTAGTAGAGATGGGGTTTCACCATGTTGGTCAGGCTAATTTAGCTTTTATGAATGGAATTGTATGCACTTTTAAAAATTAAATGAAAAGGAAACGCACATACTTTCAGTAAAACAAGAATTACAGTTATTCAAATAAGGTGACAATCACATCAATTTTATTTTATAACAAATAGAATCATGTCCCAGTTCCAAAACAAAATAAATAGTAATGTTAATATAGAGATTTACTCATGGCCTTTTTTGTTAAAGAGTCTTAAAATGTTTCTTTGGACAATTTAAAAATTTTCAATGTTTTTTTTACTCCCATACAACCTAGCCCCCCTGCCAAATAAAAATCAAGCATATTTTCTCCTGTATCTTGTGTATAGGTTATATAATAGTACCTTTTATCTTTAAGATATGAGCTGAAACCCCACCTATGGTTGTAGTGAGCATCCTACTTTACGCCTCTTATCTCCTTTAAATTCAAAACAGGTATCTCAAAAATAAAGTTAATATAGGTTTATAAGTAGGACTTGCTCACTCCTGAAAGTACGTTTAAGTAAATCTCCAAACACATTTCAAATACTCTCAGAGAGTCTGTTTTATACTACCAAGTATCTTATCCACATTTCTTCAAAATAAACAAAAAAATGCTCACAAAATATCTATGAGAAACAAGAAGATAAAATATAAAATCTTAATTTTTACGTATAAAATAAGGAAGCCGGTGAATAGCAATGCTAGAAATAAAATGCTAGATCTCCTAATCCCCTTCCCAAGTTTCATCCAGAAAGATAACAGTTAAAAAAAAAGTAAATAAAAGCTTAAAAAAATCCCAAAGTCATTTCAAAAAGAAAAGCGGCTGCATCGTCTTCTGCAGGTTAGAGGTAGTAAAGGCGGTTTGACAGTGACAGATTTGGCTCTCTGTGAATACTCTGGCCAACAAGAAAAGCCAGCTTGTGGGCGTACTGGCAAGGAGCAGGAACACGAATGACACCCTTTAGTGGAAGGAAAAAAAGGTTCTATTACTCTAGACTTAGCCTCTTTCAATTGCAAATCTCAGTATTAACCCTAAAAGCCTTTTAAACCACAGCTATTTCATTTTGAAAAGTGAATGTCCTTTATTTGCTAAACATCAACAAGTAGAAGCACTTACTGGCCAGTTGTAATAGATGTGGCACAGCTTGTAGGTCAAGCGCTGTATGTGGTCTGGCTTCAGGCCGCTGTTGTCATAGATGACATTGTAATGTGTGGGAGAAACACTACCACTTCTCACAGCCTGGCTCACGATAAAAAAGTCATACCTGGAATTACAGAAAACACACGGATGTGCTGAAAACTAAAATTAGGGTGATTCCAGTTTCTTACAGTGAAAAGCTCTGTACCACTCTTCACTGTAAGTTACTACAGTAACCTCATCTCTTCTCACGCTGTAACGTGCTTCCTTGAAGTCCAGGAGCCTGTTATTCATGAACCATTTGGGACTGCTTATGTGTGAAAGATGTTTATCATAAAGATGATGATTTTGATTTTAAATATCTGTCATGATGCCTCCCAGCAGAACCAAGCGTTTGTTACGGGCGCTAAAAACGATGGCATACTTGGCCAGGTCCTGTTTTCCACCCCGACCCCCGAACCATGTGACTGAGCCTTCAGACTCTGGAAGCACGACCTGTGGGGGCAGCGAGTGGGTCGAGCTTCAGGGACTGTTACTCCCCAAACATGCTTTTACCACGGAATCTTTTCCCCTCTTGCTGTTCCCATTGTTATTTAACAAAAATAGAATTCATTTTAATCCCCAGGAATTTAATGCAAATCTTTAAGTGGAAGGGAACATGAAAGAATATAAACTAGTATGGGACCAAATGGAAGAACAAAAACCAAGTATAGCCATCCATTGGGAATTGGTTCCAGGACCTCCTGAGGATACCAAAATCCTCGGATGCCCAGGTCCCTAATATAAAATGATGTTGTCTTTCTATAACCTCCCATATACTCGAAAGTATCATCTTTAGATTATAATACCTAATACAATGCAAATGCTATGTAAATAGTTGTTTTACTGTATTGTTTAAGGAATAATGACAAGAAAAAGTCTGCACATGCTTAGTACAGACTTTTTTCCAAGTATTTTTGATCCGAGGTTGGTTGAATCTATGGTTGCAGGACCTACAGATAAAGAGAGCCGCCTGTAGTACAAATATGAAGGAATACGCATTAGTTTTTTTTTTTTTCATTTTCTTGGTACCAATAAAATATCAATCCAGAGATATTGTAATTTGACCCAATAAAGATTTAAGGAAATTAACCCTGCGATTTATTATGCCCATCAAAACTAGTAAAATTAGGAAAGCAGAACTGATCTACAACAGATGGTATAGCTACCTTTTCAAAGAATGAGGAGTTAAGAAATGTTAAATGACTTGTTCAGAAAGAACAGCGAAATCATGCCAGGGCTGGAATCCAAGCCCGGCTTCCCAGCTTAGGCACAAACCATTTGCAGTGCTGGTGATTACAGATGACTTTGGTGCTCATTAAGAGCGGGCTTCTCAGTTGCAACAAAAGCAAAAATTGACAAATGGGATCTAATTAAACTAAAGAATTTCTGCACAGCAAGAGAAACTATCATCAGAGTGAACAGACAACCTGCAGAATGGGAGAAAAGTTTTGCAATCTACCCATCTTACAAAAGTCTAATATCCAGAATCTACAAGGAACTTAAGCAAATTTACAAGAAAAAAAAACATTAAAAAGTGGGCAAAGGGCAAGAACAGACACTTCTCAAAAGAAGAAATTTATGTGTCCAGGAAACATACATGAAAAAGCTCAACATCACTGATCATTAGAGAAATGCAAATCAAAACCACAATGAAATACCATCTCACACCAGTCAGAATAGCTATTATTAAAAAGTCAAGAAACAACAGATGGCAAGGCTGAGGAGAAATAGGAACACTTTTACACTGTTGGTGGGAATGTAAATTAGTTCAACCATTGTGGAAGACAGTGTGGTGATTCCTCAAAGATCTAGAACCCGAAATACCATTTGACCCAGCAATCCCATTACTGGGTATATACCCAAATAAATATAAATAATTCTGCTATAAAGATACATGCACATGTATGTTCATGCAGCACTATTCACAATAGCAAAGACATGGAATCAACTCAAATGCCCATTGATGAGAGACCAGATAAAGAAAATGTGGTATATATACACCATGGAATACTATGCAGCCATATAAAGGAACAAGATCATGCTCTTTGCAGGGACATGGATGAAGCTGGAAGCCGTTATCCTCAGCAAACTAATGCAGGAACAGAAAACTTAACACCGCATGTTCTCACTTATAAGCAGAAGTTGAACAATGAGAACACATGAACATGGAGGAGAATGACACACACACTGGGGCCTGTTGGGGGGTAAGGAGGAGGAAGAGCATCAGGATAAATAGCTAATGCATGAGCTAATGCATGTGGGGCTTAATACCTAGGTGATGGGTTGATAAGTGCAGTAAACCACCATGGCACGATGTAACAAACCTGTACGTCCTGCACGTGTGTCTCGGAACTTAAAATGAAACTAAAAAAAAAAAAAGAGTGGGCTTCTCCAGGTGTCCGAATAGCATCAGCAGTTGCTACATTTTAATAATATCTAGTGAAAACTCATGACGTTTTTTATACTTCATAATTCAACTGGGATTTTACCCAATTTGTTTAAGTTACTGTCTTCAGGCCAATGTCACATCTGGGCTTTGGCGTTAGGAGTAGTAGCAATGTTGGAAAGCATCGGGGGTCGTTTTGAATACGGTGAAAGAGAATCCTGCAGAAATGAATTTGCTATGTTAACATCTTAGCCTTCTTTTGTCTTTCTAGCCAATTTTTCCCCAATAGGCTAGAATCCTTCTAACCTATTAGAACCTTGTAACCTAAGCCAATGCCATAACCTAACCTAAGCCAATGCCATAACATCTGTCTGAGAAAAAGACAGAAATCCAAGATAATGTATTTCAAAATAAAAATTTCTCTCCACTGTCAGATAACAGAGCAGACTAGATAAGACTAAACTCTGTATGCTATTATCATTTTCCACCTAAAGTCGCTATAGTATTGCCTCATTTACCCAAGATTCACACAGGAGAAGTGTTCCACATGTCAACTTTGCACACAGGCCGAGACTTTATCCTCTTAAAGTCGCCTTCTTCACAAAGGTTCCAAAGCACCTACATAGAAAAACAGAAGTCCTCCCAACGATTCGCTGTCCTGAGTACAGTGTCAACTTAGAATGACTGATGGGTTGCCATCACGAACATGCTCACTGCATTAACAACACCTCACACAAAAGGGTTTTTGAGGAACTCACTAAAAATGGAACAAGTTTCGGCTGGGCGTGGTGGCTCATGCCTGTAATCCCAGCACTTTAGGAGGCTGACGCGAGCGGATCACTTGAGGCCAGGAGTTTGAGACCAGCCTGGCCATCGTGGTGAAACCTCGTCTCTACTAAAAACACAAAAATTAGCTCGGCATGGTGGTGCATGCCTGTAATTCCGGCTATTCAGGAGGCTACGGCATGAGAATTCCTTGAACGCAGGAGGCAGAGGTTACAGCGAGCCGAGATTATGCTACTGCACTCCAGCCTGGGGAACACAGTGACTCTGTCCCAAAAAAGGAGCCAAGTTTCCTGACTTTCTCACGGAATCCTCCCGTGCTACTAAGGCCATTTCCCTGTGCCTGCCGGTGCCCGCTGTAAGCTCCGGCTGGCATTCTGCTTTTCTTGCGGTCGGTGAGTGCAGCTCGGCTCAGAAGCCACTTTACTCATAAGCACCTCTGTCTCAGATAAAACTTCTTGACCTTTAGACAACTAAGTGTATTACAAATCTAAACACTTTTTACTAGAAAACAATCTGTGGATAGGTTATGTACGTAAAAAATATAAAAGCAATCTACAGAAGCAATGCTTAATCTCCCTATGTGTAGTTAATACCACAGAAAATAATCCTCTTTCCCCCAATGAAAAACTGTACTTGGAAACCTCTGTTCAGACACCAGGAAACCATGGGCTTTATTAATTATGTTTGACCAAATTAGTTGAAAAAATTAATGTTTATAAAAAATATAAGAACAAAAGTAAAATGTATTAAAATTGGTAAAGCATAGGGGCCATGCTAAAGAAACCACCACCAAGGAGAAAACAACCTTCAGCTCATCACATGGAACTTACCATTCTGGTCTGGTAACCTCTACATCAATAACTGTTCCAGGAAGTGGATTCTGAAGTCTTCCTCCAGACTGAGCAAAAAATCTGGTGTTCACTCTTTTCTTCACCACAATTACCGTTAGTCTAGGGCTTAAAAATGATGATGAATGTAACTGCATTTAGCCAGTCATATTTTCAGGGCACTCATTCATTCAGGTGTTCACATGCTCCATTTAAAAAGGAACACATCCCTCCTGGGGCGTATCATCTGTCCAGGTTGTGGAGAAGGATCAGGATCTTACTCTTGACAGGAGTAAAGACCACGGATAAACGGTGAGAGGGAAACCAAATGGCACATATGTCCTGTGACACACGGTCATGTAGATGGTTTATCCATAGACCAAACACATTACATACCAATCACACCAAAATGTTAAATCCAGCATGTCTTCAAAATTCACAATTTATAACAGTCTTCAGTGGGCATTTTCTACTGTGTAGAAAATATAATATTAACTCTAAAATCTTTGACAGGTAAGTGGATTTAAGTAGTGCTTTTCAAAATTACCGTTTCACTATATATCGGGGATACACACAGACACACACTCATACATACATACTACATATTCATATACCTTTTTCAGGAGGAGTAACTTCATTTTCATACTCGTGTTTCACCGGAGTCTCAAATGACGTTTTCCGCAGACCCCAGGACGGCCCCACACTCCTTGGCCTACCACACGCCAGATGCACCCATACTAGAGGCTGCCCTTTTTAGCCACCCATCCCCACCTGGATTCTTCAGGCGGCTCTCCTGTGTCAAGGTTCATCAGGCTTCTTGGCCTGGACACAGCCGTGCACTATCAGCTGTCCGTCCCGGCAGATCCCTGGCCCTTCTGCCCTCCCTCTGACCCTGCGGAGAGCAGCCCTGCACTTGCACTGCCTGGTCTGCTTGAGTACCTTTCACATCCTTTTCCACCCCCTCCTCCAGGCTCACTTCAAATCCTTCTGAAGCAGCCACACTTGTACACACACAATCCATGTAGTTAATCCATGAATTAGAACAGGTAGCAATTAGAACAGCACTGCCAGGTAGTAAGCACTAGATAAACATGATTATTAGCACCTCCATCTCCAACTACAACATTAGTTCCTTAAGAGGACAGATACACTTGATTTCCAATGCTGGGAAGCAGAGGGTTTTATACAGTATGGACCTAGTAATGTCTGACTCGGCAATGTTGCTGATGTTTTTCACTGAAAATTGAATAGGGCAAGAAACTCAGTGAGAGTACTTGAGTAAGCAGAGGACATCTTCAGAAATGTCCCTATCTGCCTACGCAGACTACTGCTGCCCAGCGACTGCCCGTGCTAATAGCTCTGAATATAACAAAGCCACAATGAACGTGTTGAAAACGTGTGCAGCCCTCTGTTTCAAATGCCTCTGCCACTTACAGAGATTAAGTTCAGCATAGGGCCTTGTTAGAAAGTGATGACTATCTAGGACTTCATGACAGCATCTAAAACAAGTATCAGTCTTAGGAACGGAAGGACATAAGGTGGATAAAGTTAATCCTATAACATCACGAGAAACAATTTAGCAAATATAGTAACAAAAACAGGTCACAAATATGCTGGCATGACTTTCTGATTTGTTCTTGCATCAAACAGTCTAAATCAGCTGCCCTGTGATACGTTGCTATAAAAGCTTAAAAGCAACATTTCAATTTGAAAGCAAACATTGTGGTTCTAATGATAACTATTAGACAAACATTGAAGTCCAAACTTTGCATTTTCTAAAAGTGAAGAATAATTTTCAGATATTTTACCTTTACGTACAACTTGAAGGTTTTTCCCAGAACTATCTACCATGTATTGAATACTTACTGGATACTGTGTGAAGTCCATTACGTATATTTTCATTTACGCCTTGCAATGCCTCAGTTAACTGTTCCCTTCTTCTACAAACGAAGCTAAAGCTGGGATTAACCAAACTCTGATTTTAAGACATATTGCTTTTTACCACTGATCCCTACTGCCACAGTTCACAGTGTGCAGTCTACTTCACGCAACAGTGCACTAAGTGTCAGCCCAAGCAGTCGACTTAGGTTCTCCTTCCCTGCAACGCTGTGTTCCCACTCGCTGATGGAGCTGGGTAGGCGCACCCACCAGCTGCACCAGGGTCCACTCTGCACACTCAGGACGACTGTGCACAGGTACTCATTCACTAGGGTGGCAACCTCCTTTTCAAGAGCCATTTCTGCCAGTCCTTCTGGGAATCAAACCCAAAGGACCCTAAGAAACAGAGATGACCCAGCAAGGCCAGGAGTGTGTACTCCTAGTAGCCCTACAATTCAGCTCAAGGGAATGTGACGAACTTGCACTATGACCTCTATTCATCATTTCTTGACAATTTCCTTCACTTCAGGTATGAGGAAATGACAATAAAGACTAGAAAACACTGTGTGCTCAAGTAGTAAATCGCAGGAAAAAAAGAGTAGGAAAGAAGCAGTCCAAGTCAGAGCCTCCTTTACTGCCTGCTGCACACACCACACCACACCTCCCCACACAGACAGAAAGGCCAAGTCAGAGAACAACATACAATAAGGCTTCTAAAGCCTGAAAACAAAGTATCATTATTTGACAAAATATAAGCATTAAGAGTCTTAAGGGAATAGGAAAGAACATTAACTTTCATTTCCAAAATATTAAAAAATGCGTGGTCTTTTAATCTGAAACACAACTATTTCAAAAAAGATAAAAACACTCCTGACTTTCTCTGAGACCTTCACGGCATCACATGTCATTTTAAGAAACGTCTGGGATAAACACTTATTGTGTGGGGCCTTTTAGCATTGGCCAAAGATGACTCAGAAGCCCGTTAGTAGAAATAAGGAATGACCTCTTGGTGCTTGTCCTTTTCCTACGCACCAGATAAAATCAAGCCCCAGATGTGGCCAGTGGCTTTCAGAATCCCTCCTTTCTATAATGATACAAAATGCTAAAATACAAGAATAATGGGTGTGTAATATGTATGTGCAAGCACACGAAACAGGATCCAAGATCTTCCAAATATCCTGAAAAGTTCAATCTTTAAATCTGTAATGTATTATGCACTTAGCCCTTAATACAACAGTCCCTGATTTCAAATCACTCACAGATCTGATAAAGAGGACTAGTTAACGTAACTGATTAGAATGGCTCTCTTGCGATGGTACACATTTTATTGACTCATAATGGCACTGACGGAAATGTCTGTAGGAGAGCAGAGGAAGACAAAAACCAATATGGGTTTCAAAGGAAAACAAGTGCAGCATCTGGATACCATCCTCGGCTGTCCACATTCCTTAAAAGGACAAAGTAGAGGCTGGGAGTTGTGGCTCATGCCTGTCATCCCAGCACTTTAGGAGGCCAAGATGGGTGGATCACCTGAGGATGGGAGTTTGAGACCAGCTTGGCAAACGTGGTGAAACCCCGTCTCTACTAAAAATACATAAATTAGCCAGGTGTGGTGGTGCACGCCTGTAATCCCAGCTACTCAGGAGGCTGGGGCAGGAGAATCACTTGAACCTGGGAGGCGGAGGTTGCAGTGAGCCGAGATTGTGCCACTGCACTGCAGCCTGGGCAACAGAGCGAGACTCCATCTCAAAAAAAAAAAAAAAAAAAAAAAAAAGGGAGAAAGTAGAACTACCCCTGCCCCATGAGACTAGATGCTCGCCAAATCACCTTACTGATCAAACACTAGTCAAGTCCACAAGGAAATGAAACAAGTATTCAGTAAGCTAAGACTGTCAGGAACACTTATTTCAATAATGAATCCTGTGGACGCCTTTGGATGTACAGAATTATCAGATACTTGCACTCCAAGGCCTTAGGTAAGAAAGAAAGCTGATCAATGATTGGTAATGGTGTCTTACTGTCCCATTCTGTGAAGGAATGACCCTCTATACTACCCCTCAACACAGCCTTCTTGTGAAAAATTTCCAATAGAAACTTCCCTCTGCCCTTCCCATCACCTCAAAGGCCCTACAGTCCCTATCAAGTTAGGTTCTCCCTCATCCTTTCATCTTGTGATGCTAATTTCAAAGATACAAAGGTGCAGTTTTATAAAAAGAAAATGCTTTACAATTTGCATGCTTACTTGTAACCTCTACCAATGGATTTTAGACAATCCAAAAACTGTGGCACTTCGTAGTTCACCAGTGTTTTCAGCTGGCCGTCTCCTACGCCATCGCGGTACACGATGATCCGGCTGGGCATGTACTCATTGCAGCTATTCCAAGCCCTCAGAGCCGCTGAAACAGGCCAGAGAAGTTTTATGTCAATTCATGCCTACGACACAACTCGTCTGTTCTTCCCAAAGTCTGGGCCCATCAATAACACAGTTCAGGGTAATTTCTGGAAGACCCCAGTTTAGAGAGTAGAATGGCAACCCCACAGGCGACTAACCTTGCAGGCAGACTTTGAGCCCATCTACCAGCTCCTGTCCTCTATCCTGAAATATGCAGCGTGAGAACCAGCTATTCAGAGAAAAACACAGCTAGAATAAGAATGCAATTGTCTATCAATTTTTCCTTTCTGAATTATTCTATATTTATTTCACTCTTAGCAATCTGTCATCTTTGTAACTGCCTTAAAGACATCTGTTAACATCTCCAAATACTTTATAAAAACCTTACACAGAAGGAGCAGGATACAGGAGATCCCGTATCAGCATCACAAACTGTGTCTGTTTTCATTACAAATCAGTACCATGATTCCAGCTGCTGGGGAGAAAACAGAATTTAGCTATAATACCCAGAGGCGCTGTCCAGGTTTATTACACCTAAATACGCACAGAAGCACACTCATGGCTGTGCTCTTGAGAAACTATTCATTGTAAGTTTCACTCTTCTAAAAGATGAAAGACCTTCAGCTCCATCCGTTACCTCTAGCAAACTAATGCAGGAACAGAAAACCAAATACCACCTGTTTTCACTTATAAGCGGCAGCTAAATGATGAGAACTCATGGACGCAAAGAAGACAACAGACACCAGGGCCTACTTGGGGGTGGAAGGTGGGAGGAGGGAGAAGAGCAGAAAAAATAACTACTGGGTACTAGGCTTAGTACCTGAGTGATGAAATAATCTGAACCACAAACCCCATGACACGAGTTTACCTATGTAACAAACCTGCACATGCACTCCTGAAACTAAAAGTTAAAAATGATAAGACCTTGAAATATATCCATTACTAATGTCAACAACTAACATGCCTTCAGTTTTCATATATTACTATTCTTGGCAATTCCCTTAGTTCCAAGAAAAGCACTGAAAAATAATGCTATTATGTTGAAATACAAGTGACTGGGTAAACTGAAGTGGTTTTTCTACATCAAAATGTGAAACTACATTTCAGTGGCCAGTAAATATTATTAAACAAATACATTTTTAGAGAGAGTCACATTTAACAAGATGTACTCGCCAATACATATGATTAAAAAAAATCTGAAATGCAGTTTGACGAATACAGGATGAAAGTCATTCAAGAGCTAGGGTAGGTCATTATTTTTCTTTCCTAAATTCGTTGCTGTATATGATTGAGAAACTGGAAGGATAACAACGAAGAATGAACACTACTCCTGAACCTCCAGAACCCTGCTTTATGTCCTCACTGCCACCCACAGTAGCCCAGTCTCACTCACCGGGTCATCCCTTCATTGATGCTGGCAACAAATCCTGCGATTGACCTCCGCCCAGCTGTCATGTCATGGTAACAATCGATGCCAACGATCATCACGAGCTTCAGCTTCAATACAAATATGGTAATTTTAGATACAATGGAGTACCAGCAACATTTAAAAAGTAAATCCATGTTCTTAAATACCAATTTTAAAACGGCATCTACCAATTAAATCAAACTCACGGGGATGTCCACCCTCCAGAGCTCTCCTCCCATCTTGCAGTTCATCTGTAGGGCAATCTTTGTAGCAATGGCCATGACAGTTTGCTGTTTGCCTAAGGTTCGGGCCACCACACACTGACTTGGGGTAGGGCAATCTGTACACAGGTATTTTTTAATAGCATCGTATTTGTCCTTCCGATTACTTGACAACAGACAGACAACCTGAAAACAAAGTGCCCTTGTTACAAAGAATTAGGAGACAGATGATTAAGAGCAAGGGAGAGGACAGGAAACTAAACTCACCTGTGAAGTATCAATGTCAAGAACATGATCATTTATTTTACTATTCATTTCAGCCACACAGCTAATCAGTAGGACATTAACAAATACTGCTCATCATGTTCAACTAAATGATAATTGCACGTGAAGGAAATAAATCATGTTAAGCAAACTATGAGTCAAAACTGAATACTGTTTAAACTTGAGAACTTAAATATGCTCTATGTAACCAGCACAGAAAAATTTAGTGACAAGTGACAGGTAGACAGATTAAAGATTTCCCACAGTCTTAATTTACTCATGATTCATCTACAATTGTAACTTGTAAGCTTTAAAGCTCTGGATTGAGAATCTGATCAAACTATGAACTTCCACAGGAGGTCCATGGACAATTCTGGGGACAAAACAGAGCGCCTGATCTCAACATGCCCCTGCCCCAATTCTGGGCATCCAAGTTTAACTTTCGGGAGTTTGGTTTGTTTTGTTTTTGAGATGGAGTTTTGCTCTTGTTGCCCAGGCTGGAATGCAGTGGTGCGATCTCGGCTCACTGCAACCTCCGCCTCCCAGGTTCAACTGATTCTCCTGCCTCAGCCCCCAGAGTAGCTGGGACTACAGGTTCGCACCACCATGCCTGGCTAATTTTTGTATTTTTAGTAGAGATGGGGTTTCATTGTGTCGGCCAAGATGTTCTCAATCTCCTGACTTGTGATCCGCCTGCCTCGGCCTCCCAAAGTGCTGGGATTACAGGTGTGAGCCACCACGCCTGGCCTGAATCCAGCTTGTAACTCATTGCCATGTTCTCCAATTTATATTCCCAGATTCTTCTCTTCCCTTTTTATAGTGCCCAGCAAAATAATTTTCCCACCTTGGGTGTTTCCATTACCCAGATAACATAATAGCTATCTGCCTGTGGGATCTAAAGTGTGACATGAAGGGCTAAAATAATGAACACATTAGAAGAAGCCAATTCATTTCTTAGGCTTATGGCAACACAGATGTATTGTTTATCACTAAATCTGTCTTTGCCAACTCATTGCAATGTGGCTGTATGAAAACTCAACGGGGCAGAAGAAACTCATCCTAGCACTCGATACCCCACAATGTGCTGCTGTCTTCAGAATGTTTCCTGTGAACTAGATATGTACTTTCAACTTGTTTTTAAAATAGCCAAGGATATAAATGCCTAATAATCAGTGAAATCGCTGAACTAATTATTGTTCACATGCATGTCATTTTTCCCTTCCTACTTTACAATCATAATGACATAATAGTAGAACCTATCATAATTTTCCTTACCACTTACATCTTAATCTCATATTGTCATTCTATCTTTTGCAAGTTCCATGTTCCCTCAGCAGATCTCTGGCAATTTTATGCTACAGGTATAAAAAGCAATAGGAATTGACTGAACTTCTATGTATCACCCACTACAGTCCCAGGCTACTATGACCTTTGTATGTCAGTTTTCTAACAATAACCAACCAACTCTGCTAAAAATAAGGAGAGCTGAAGTACTTGTCTTGGAGATTTTATCAGGCAGGGCCCCAATAAAATAGATGGAATATTCAAACTGGACAAGTTGAGAGAACCTGAATAAAAGGACTACTTGTGAGACACCCTCCCCAACACCCAGGGGCTCATGGCAGCAAGAGCAGGGCAGGGAATGGTTATGGGAACAGGGCATGGGGGTGTAGAGTGCAAAGAAAGCTCTTCAGGGGTCATGGTCTTTGGCTCGGCTGTGCTTTCACTTCTGCAAAGTAAATGTCTAAGCCCTACTTTCTTCCACTATGGACCAGGAAGTCTTGAGGCCACAATTCCAAGTTCTTGGACAAAGACTGAATGCAAAGGAGATTCTAGACCAAATGTGATTAAGACTTGGACAACTCCGGAGTTCCCTGACAATGAGTCTGGCTCTATTTTGCTACATTAGGCTGGGTGTGTGGACTTACAAGAAAACTATGGCACTGCTATCATGTTTATAAAGGCTACACTCTAGATACAGACCAAAAACAACCATATCAATGTTGATAGAATTTCAGGGGTGGGAGGAGTGTTAGAGAAGAAATATAACTTAGAAAGCTTTCAAGTTGAAAACTTTGCTGGAAAACACAAAGGCAAGTTTGAGAAAAGTGTGTCAGAAGTGTGTGCAGGGGTGTGTGCATGAGAGAGAGGATGAGCAGGATGGCAGCCTGACCACGCCTAAAGCACACCATGGTGAACAACGACAGGCCATAGTCGTACAACATGCTGGTGCCTGGAATATAGAAGGCCCTGTTCTCAGTGCTGGGGACGCGACAGGAACGAGGCAGATGGCCTTGTACTAGAGAGCAGTGTGCGAGAGTGACGGACAGTTTCTAACCAACAATTTATAGAAAGCTGGACAAACAGTGAAGTCAAGACATACCTGACAGCCTAAAAAACTAGCTTGAGAAAAGGGGGGTAATTTTCCCCTGAATAATTCAAAACACTGATGGGATTGGGAAAATGAAGAGTTAACTCAGACTCGCTGAGTTTGAGGAGCTGACTGGTGGCGGCAGCAGCAACAGTGATTAACATGTCCTGGGCTACTAGGGAGGGGCCGGGCATGACACCGCCATTAAACTTCAGAAGTGCTGTGAGGGTTCACTACTATTATTACTACCACCTAAATCTGTTCAGAAAAGGAAATAAAGCCAGAAGCACTTGATGAAGATCAGGCAAATGGCTGAGCCGGGATGTGAACCCAGGGGTTTGATTTCAGAGTTTACCCTCTTAATAACTGCGCTACAGATTACAACAAAAATGAAACCACAACACACACTTGCTGCATGTCCCCACAATTTCAGATCACCAATGAAAACCACCCGTCATTAAGTGGCTGCCATCATCTAACGTCCCTGTCTCCAATTCCTAACCCTCTGCACCTCCCACACACCCACGCTAGGTAGCGAGACTCTGGCAAACAGGCATATGGGCTCTTCGGGACTCAGTCCTCCCCTCCTGAGTCATCACTCACTCACCTGGATGGGTGGGTGAAGCACACACAACAACAACACGTTTGCAGGTAAAAGGGGAAAGAGCTTAGGAGAGTGGTTGCATCCCTATCCCGACCCCTCGGGGTGATGTGGATGCATGCGGAAGCTGACAAGCTGCTGAGTGTCACTCAGGGCTCCCTGCTCTCTGCGACCCTACTCTTCCCATACCTGGCACTAGGCTGTCTGGGGAGCTTCCATGTAATTACGCAATCATACGTCTACGTGTGCCGAACAACAGCTGATTTTTACCTCTGTGCTTTTCTGTATTTTCCAAATTTTCTAGACTAAGTAAAGCCTTTGGGTCTGAATAAATTGAAGATGGCTTTGTTTTTCTCCACCCCTTCCTCACCTTTTGCAGTATGTAAACCAAACTCCTAGGTGCACAACTAAAGCTAGCATTAGCTTAGCTACTTTATGGTTACAAAACATATTTTGTGCCTAGTTTGAGAACCTATTAACATTTGAAAAAAGAACTCCAAGTTCCAAAATGTACACATGCCCCCTTTGAAAAAGCTCTTTCACCGAAAACTGCCTATATGTCAATTAGTTACTTACTATCTGGGTGTCTGCTGTGACCTTTTGCTGTAAGACTCTTAAGTAGGCTTCAGTTCTGTCATCCACTTCAATCCTAGAATGAAAGTACACAATCCAACACTCAGACACAGTAGCGACAAATGGACCGTGCATAAACACCTTCCTGTGTAACACAGGAAACGTTTCCGTATAAAACATGAAATCAAACACCGAGACTAGCCATTCATGCCAAGGGCTGTTTCTAATACAAACGAGCAATATTTTAAGCACGCAGGTTTCAGAAACTGTCTTACTTGGTTGCTTCTCCCACCCATTCTTAGTTATTAAAATATGTTTCTGTTTATCTGCATTACAGGGAGCCACATCAAACCTTTCAATTAAGATAACGTAGTTTGTATGTTTAATAGTTCCCACCCCTCCAAATGACTGCCAAGCAATTTTCAGAGCAGAAATGACTTGATTAACTTACATTATTGCTTTTCTCATTTGCATGCCCATGGCTGGTGTAACTTTAAATAGATTTTGTATCAATGAATTGGCTGCTTCATAATTTCTTCGCGTATAGATCAACAGCCAGTTATCTAGTGGCTTAACACTAATTAATGGTGCACCTCTTGTTTCTTTGGACCAATCTGCAAATTGTGGATTGTAATCAAACTAGAAGAGAGTTCAGACACACTGTAAATTCCATTGTAAGTTCTCAGTGATCAAGCCAAACAGTCTTCAATAATTCTACCATGGCATATTTTGAAACTTAGTGTACTACTTTTATGCTTGAATTAAAGGGACAGAGAAAATGTCCTCAATGGGGGTAGACTCTAAAATATATCCAAAGGATGATGGCAATTTTACTTAAAATACACTCATACTGACAGCTGCCACACAAATGCTTACTTGGACCAGGTACTTCCCTAAGTGCTTTAGTCGCATTCTCCTTAATCTTTTAAAAAATCTTACAAGTATAGCTACTCTTTCTTCATAATGAAAATATTAAAAAATAAGGCTTTGAGAGTAAAACAACTTGACTGAGGTGTTATATGCCGCAAGCAAGCTACAAAAACATCTGACAGCAAGACAGAAAGTGAAATAAACGCGAGGCACAGCACCCGAGTGCTGGTCATCACAGGGAGCAGCCCGGTGTCTTCTGCGTGTCCTGGCCACCTCCCTGCCTGGCCTCACGCAGGGGATAGCGTAAACAATGCAACCAGAATATTAAATTACATTGTGAGATCACTGTTCACAGGACATTTCAAAGGCAGGAAGGACATTTTCTTAAAAAAAAAAAAAAATGAAAATGTTGGCACTTTACAGTGCTTTAATTACACTAAAAATATTTTTAGAATACTTTTCCTTTTCTGAAAATGAAACATAAAAGGTATCATAATAATTAATATATTATCTCTATAAACAAATGATCCAGGCCAATCAAATCAGGGATTTTCCATCATTTTAGTGGCAGTCAAAATATCAACCCAAGCAGATAGTTAGGATTCTACACTTTAGCTCAAGTTATTGAAAAAAAAAAAAATCGAACCACTTTTTAGCTAAGTCTTACAGATGATTTTTGAGGACCCAGCTACAGGCTCCACATTCTCTAGGGCTTCCACGTTTTCTCCTCCTGGGGTGTACCTATTTCTGAGGTCCCGGGCTGTTCATGTGGGTTGATAGAGAGTGGATGTGCAAGGGGAGAAGAGAAAGGTGAGGAAAAGATCATTCTGGCATGGAACTCAGTTCTTCCCACTTGCTTTATTGTGATCTGACCCAAGCCTCACTTGATTGTCAACTTTAAAAACTGCCTTACTCGGAGCTTGCAGTGAGCTGAGATTGCACCACTGTACTCCTGCCTGGGGGACAGAGCGAGACTCCGTCTCAAAAACAACAACAACACCAACGAAAAACTGCCTTACTGTTTTTCCACCTTGGTGAATCTTTTCTGTTTGCAAAATTCTTCCTGAGAAGGACAGTAAGTTGGAATCAAAGCTCAAACCCCAGTCTCGAAGCTCCCTTTGAACATTATCGTTTCTGTAAATTTAACACATTTACATGCGACTCAACAAAGAGACACAGCAAGAAGACACAGTCAAACAGATATCCACTCCAGCCTACAACACACTCCAATGTCGCCGTCAGGGTGAAGGCGCTGGTGAGAATGCCAGCTGGCACAGGAGCACAATCATCTTTCTCTCATCACCTTCAGGCTTCTCTTCATGACATTCTTTAACTTAAAATTCTGATGCCCAAACTTTCTCCCCGTCAAAGGAAACCCCTTGATATAACAAAGATAGAAAAAAGATTTGACCAGAAACATCCCCTTTTTCTGTTGTCACCTTTTGCTAATGGAAGAGTTAGAAAGACTACGCACTGCAAAGTTTAACTTCATTATTTCCTGAGGAATAAGTGAGGTATAGGTAGCCTTGCTTAGAAACACGAAGAACAAGCCCACCCCAAATACTACAGATACCAAAGGAGAAAGTTACTTTCTGCCACTCCCTCAAAAGATACCCCTCAAAGCCACATAAAATACTAAACACAAAACTGAAACCCTGCCCCAGTGAAATCAATGACTTACTTATGAATGTAATCAATGAGTCGTCCCACTTCACGCTGCCTTTGCTCTGGAGTTAGTCTTGTATGAACGGCTAAGTCTTTCATCACGTTAAAATCATTACGCATTTTATCAGTTAGACCTTTAAATAAGACATTTAAAGGCATATGGTTAAAGAAATAATAATCAGGTCTAAATAACTGGAGTATAGGGTGATGGTGAGTGGGAATTCCCAGGAGACAAAGCAGTTTTAATAAAAGGTTTTCTGGGGGGAGGGAAGGGGAAGTAAAGGAATGTCTGAGGACTCCTAGGAAAGAAAGGGTAAATCCAGTGGCTTCCTTCCGAGTAAATGAAATGCAACAGTACCTGTAAGATAGCAGAGCTCAGGAATGAGCATGGCAGGCCCTGGCAGTGTCCCCCCAGGGCCCCGCCTTCTCTTGGGCTGGCTGACCAAGACAGGCTGCTTCAAGTCGGTGATCTCTTGGTTGTATTGCTGCTCAAGAGACGAAAGGGTCGCTGTTCACGGCAAATGCCTCGAGTAGCATCTCAGTGGGCAAAAAGGGTTTCATTTTTTAAAAAAATAAAGAGCTGATGCCAATAGCAAGGCTGATAATAGCTTCAGAGTAAAGTTTTAAAAAGGCATTTTTTTTAACATTCTTAAAACAGAGGTTGTGACTTCTATGCTCTACTGAGTGCCCTATCTTTTTCCTAAAAACTGTGATGGTCCAGGACAGTATGGTTCTGAGTTCAGACTTTGTTAGTCACAGTTCTCATTGCTTAATTTTTTATTTCTTGGTTTAGAAACAGTAGTCTGTGTAACTCTGCAACTTCACCATAGGATGATTCCTCTAAAACTATTCTCTGTTACTGAGAGAACTTACTAATAAAAGCAGTCTCACCGTGAGAATACAGAGGGGAAAGGAAGAAGTTCCTACGCTACAGGGCAGGTTTAATCAGAAAAAGTTTTTTATAAAATCTTGATATTTTCAAGAAGTCAAATTTCAATTGAGAAGTGTTAAGGTTCCCCAGATGCAATCACTGCCCAAAATAAGCGTTGACAATTTGTTAAACAATAAAAAATGACATTCTTTTTTTTTTTTTTTGAAGATGGAGTCTCGCTCTGTCACCCAGGCTGGAGTGCAGTGGCATGATCTTGGCTCACTGCAACCTCCGCCTCCCGGGTTCAGGTGATTCTCCTGCCTCAGCCTCCTGCGTAGCTGGGATTACAGGTGCACACCACCGTGCCTGGCTAATTTTATATTTTTAGTAGAGACAGGGTTTCAACATGTTGGCCAGGCTGGTCTCCAATTCCTGACCTCAGGTGATCTGCCTGCCTTAGCCTCCCAAAGTGCTAGGATTAGAGGCGTGAGTCACGGCACCCAGCCAATATTCATGATTTAATGTCCTCAAAAGATGAGCTCTCTGGCCTCCAGCTCAGTTCGGCAATTCTAGAACCATGACAGACTTTGTTTGAGTTCTCTTCAGTACAGGTTCTGGCTCTGTGTCTCAAAGATCCTCTTTCCTACCATATCCTGTATCTTGCCAAAAACAGATTTTCTTAGCATCCTGCTTAAATCAGATCCAGCTTTAAAAAAAAAAAACCCACACACCTTCACTGAGCACACCAGAAGAACAAAAAAACCACACACCTCCACTGAGCACACCAGAAGAACAAACCACACACCTCCACTGAGCACACCAGAAGAAAAAACCACACACCTCCACTGAGCACACCAGAAGAACAAAAAACCACACACACACCTCCACTGAGCATACCAGGAGAACAAAAAACCACACACCTCCACTGAGCACACCAGAAGAACAAAAAACCACACACACATCTCCACTGAGCACACCAGAAGAACAAACCACACATTTCCCTGAGCACACCAGAGGAACATCATCACAGCATGTCCTTAATCTGTCTCTCATCAGCAGACTAAGGGTGCTTGCATATTTCTTATTCCTAGCATATGGCAAGGTCCTGGCCACCTACTACAAGCCCTCGTGAATTAAGAAACCATGAATTCTAGCCCGTTCTTGACTTGTTTCAAATAAGAAAATTTTAAGTAGAACACTCACATCTGACCTCTGCTTCACGTAGCTATACTACCTATTTTATCACATTTTAAAATGAGGAGTCTGGGAACAGTTACCCTCCACACCACATCACTGACTTGCAAACACAGGTGGTAGAAGTGTGGTCGTAATTTCAGAAATGTGTCCTCTCTCACCCTATTTCACCCAAGGCCTTAAGGGCATGGTTCCTGATACAGAACTTGTACTCGCTACGCCCCCTCCACTTTTATATTCTTAGGTGCCAAACAGCCTGTCATTCATTCATTCATTTATTTATTTGAGACAGAGTTTCATTCTGTCGCCCAGGCTGGAGTGCTGTCTCGGCTCACTGCAACCTCCGTCTCCCGAGTTCCAGCGATTCCTCCTGCCTCAGCCTCGCGAGTAGCTGGAATTACAGGCATATGCCACCACACCCAGCTAATTTTTGTATTTTTAGTAGAGACGAGGTTTCACCATGTTGGTCAGGCTGGTCTCAAACTCCTGACCTTAGGTGATCCACCCACCTCGGCCTCCCAGAGTGCTGGGATTGCAGGCATGACCCATCGTGCCTGGCCCTGTCAAATATTTTTAAACATTTTCCTCTACACCTGAAAAAACAGCACTCTCATTTTTATTAGACATTACTGTTAAACCTTTTATTTTAAAAACCAACTATGACCTTCTCTACCAAACACCCTTCCTTCTTCTACTCTGTTTCCTAGATATTATCTTCAATCCCAAACCATCACTTACTAGTAAAACTGCATTTCTACCAGAAAATCTAAGAAGGCTTTGATTCTTTTAAATATCTTAACGTCAACCTCTTTCATTAATTATTTCTACTAAAGACATCTGATTATCCCTGATTTCCAGAGAAATCTTCCCTAGAGAAAGAAGCTGAGCTGAGATCTCAAGCATAAGCATACAAGGTGTGTCCAACAGAGGGGACACAACCCTATGTTTAGTCTAAAGGCACAGTGGGGGACACGCCATGAGAATAAAGCAGCAAGCAGGGTCTCATGGAGAAAGATCACCACACTTCACCAGACACAGGGCCACGGGTGCCACATCACTTCTGGGGGGAAGGGGAAGAAGAAGAACAGATGTGTATGAGTTGATTGATCAGAAGGTAGAGGAAATAAATACTAAGACTTGTTAAATGAATTATAAAAATAGGGCCTGGACAGGAGATGCCATTTAGAAAAGGAGAAAAATGAAGGCAATTCAGATAACAAGGTGAGTGACAGAACCGGACAAAAGAGTACTAGGAGGCAGGGGAAGGTGCGGAGATCTGACGTGTGACTCATCCACCATTTGTTTATTCAAATACCCAAGAACCTACTTAGGCATGGGGTATATAAACCATAAAATCTCTTGCCTCTGTCCAAGTTACCTTATCTGCATTGACCAAGAGCACCGAGTAGGGGCCGTGTTGAGAAGACAGAACACATTCAACACTGGCAACATGGGAGAGGTATCTTTGAGTCATCCAAATACTTAAGAACAACCAGGCAGCTAAGCTTAGACAAGTCTAGGCTGGAACTGGAAGTCTGGGGATTCTTAACATTTCATGCCTGAAGCCTGGGCAGAGGAGACTGGAAATCACCCAGGGAGTGAACATATAGTAAAAGGGGTCTGGGCAGAGCTCCTAAGTATGATAACACGTAAAACACCACTTACAGGAGGATGAGCTGCCACAGGACACTCAGTACCAGTCAGGGAAGGGGAGAGGTTCCACTGACCTTGCTTCAGGTTTAAATCACATTTTCAGCTAATGTTTCCTTTATATTTGCTGTTGATATACCAACTTCTACCATCCCTGAGAGTGATCACTAAAATTAACGACAGAAAAATGCCACAACTCATTCCTCACAGTAACCTCTGACACCCAGAGGGATCCAGGTTAGGCATGGTTGGAGTCCTCAAGGAGTAAAGAGGCTGAAAACAGTGGGAGGAAAGACATGCTGAAATGACCCCTGGCTGTTTCCATCTTGCCAGGAATAAGGTCAGCCCTTCATGCAGCGTCTCATAGAATCCCTCCCTCCGTAGTGGCTTCTCATCTTTTTAGTCACAGCAGAGCAGCTGGACAGCAGCACACAGACCTTTCCAAGGCCACTGATAAGATGCATACTTTCCATGCAAAATATGAATACTTTTCATATTTAAGCTCATTTATCCAAATTTTTAGAAACAGGAAATACTCTATTGAAAGTAGAAGAAAATGTGAAATGTTAGCAATTCAAAGACAAGTTTTGAGATTTTAATTGATAGTTTTCTAGAAATAATCTTCCTGCGCTTTTAACATATCAAATGGAATGTGACGTTCTAAGGATTTGGGGGCCAGATCTGCTCATCTGAGTACTGAAACAATGTTAGCATGCATTCTTACATGAACAGTTCAGTTTCTTCTAGTCAATAGCTGCTCTTTCCTGCTATTTGCCTTTGATGATCTTTTCAAAACTAGAATCATCTCTTTAAAAACTGTTTTAGATGATCGCCCAAAAGACTGATCTAGCCTGTGCTAACAAGCCTGTCTGCATTTTGTTAACATGTAAATCAAAAGTTAAGAGTTAACCCACAGGCAGTAGATTTAGCAGAAATGATACTGAAGGTTCAAAGATCTTTAATTCCTACCCGTCTCCAAGGTGAAATTAAATGAAATGTTGATTATGGAGGGAGAGACAGTATGGCAAGCTCTTAACTCCCACTGCTCGCCACCTGTTATCCAACCTACTTGTCCTCCATAGGCTTCAATTCAAACGTAAGCTTTCATTCTACTGGAAAAAGGGAACCAGGAGAGGGCATTTCTCATTATGTGAACTGTACCAAATAAAAAGAGGCATTTTAATAATTTGGTAATGAATAAAATTATGCTGTGATTGCCCTAACAAATACATTTACACACAGCTTTAAACGCAACTTGTTCCAAATGTGCAACAAGTGTTAGAGAATTCTACCAAAGATATTTTGGATTTCTCCTGAGATCTAACCACTGGCATCTTACCTTCCTGTAGTATTCTAAGAAGCTGACTTCAGAGCCGTCGGCTTTCTTAAAGGTGCTCTTGGGATTCTGGTCCCAGTCAATATCATCCACTCTGTATGTCTTATTGTTATACCTAGGGATCAGTTGAGATTTGACTGCATTTGATGGAAATGTGAAGAACTAATATTAAAAAGAGAGACTAGACAGCATGTATTCTCTAAAATTTCAAATCACCTGGTTATATACAAGGTTGGAAAAAGAAGGAACAGGGTTTCTTACAGACTATGCCAGATGGATGGGGGAAGTGACTAAATTACTTACAGAAAATAAAATAATTTAAAAGGATAAAAATCACTAGCTATTTGTCCTCTCCAGATGAGTTATGTCATCTCCAAAACTATGATCCTGGGAAAGCTGAAAAATACCCTCACCCTTGTTTTGTGCTATTCCCACCACTCAATTTTAAACACTATTTCTTAACATGGTAGAACTAGAAAGCCACAATACTTTGACTCACAAAAAATTATTGTGCACTTTAAAAAGCAGTCTTACTTGGTAAGAACAACTAAACCTATTAGTTCTTTGGAAACTTGTTCTTGAAATTTATGTTCTTCTGTCTGATGATAAAAGTTGAACATGAAATCCAAAACAGTCTCACTTCGAAGGACTTTATGGCTAACGTCAGTGCAGAGCATGATGCTGTTTTCATACTGAAGGATGGAAGTAGTGAAGCCAGGCCAAATCACCAACCTGTCAGACGAGATGGGGGTCATGAAGAACCTCTCCACATTCAACACATTCTGCACACACTAAGTTGCGTTTTCACTTTTATTAACTGGGTCTAAACTATAAAGTTTCTGAATGAATCAATTTCCTTATTTCTAGGATTTACATGGTTCCAGCTTTAAGACCTTCAACAACATTATAATAATTGTATAAGTTTCATTTTAAATGAATGTACTAACTTTATTCAGCTATTCATTACACTGGCCTAAGACTTTTAAAAAGTTGCCAATCTAATTGAAAGCACCACAATTATTATGATAAACTTAAACCTGTTGGGCTGCAATATTTTGTTTTTTATTTATTTATTTTCTTAGTGTCTCGCTCTGTCACCCAGGCTGGAGTTGGCACGATCTCGGCTCACTGCAACCTCCGCCTCCCGGGTTCAAGCACTTCTCTGCCTCAGCCTCCCGAGTAGCTGGGATTACAGGTGCCAGCCACCACACCCGGCTAATCTTTGTATTTTTAGTAGAGACGGGGTTTCATCATCTTGGCCAGGCTGGTCTAGAACTCCTGACCTCGTGATCCACCCGCCTTGGACTCCCAAAGTGCTGGGACTACAGGCATGAGCCACCACGCCCGGCCTTTTATTTCTTATTTCAACTTTAGATTCAAGGGGCACACGTGCAGGTTTGTGACATGGGCATACTGCATAATGCTGAGGTCTGGGGGATGAGTGGTCCCATCACTGAGGCACGGAGCACAATACCCAGCAGGTGGTTTTTCAGTTGGGCTGCAATCTTGATACACCACATTAACTGATTATTTTTATTACCTAAGGGCAAAAATACAAACAGCACTGGACAACTATGTATTCTTCCCTAGTGACAGGTAAATTACGTGATTTTTTAAAAATCCAAATATTCTGGGATGTCTCCTCATTATTCAAGTTAAATAGTCACATAATGTGATGGGCGGCATTAACAGTCACTGTAGTAAATTTGACCATTTCAAATTAGGTTATCGTCTCAAAAGTCTGTCATTAAGCCTAAGGAATATTAAACGTTCTACTTCATACAAACCTGTGACTTGGAATATCAATTGGGTCATTTGGGTTATAATAATTTCGTCCAATTTGTTGCAAATTCATGATTTTCAAAAGCCTAGAAATGGAAAGGTCAGAGAGTGAATATTGATAAGTATCTCTAATACGACAATCAGAACAGCATGTCGTTTAGAGCAGGGGTTGGCAAATTGTGGTCTGTAGCCAGGCCAAATCCAACCTACCTGCTGTTTTTTATGGCCTATGAGTTACCAACGGTTTTCAAATATCTTTGAGGTTGGAAAAAATAAAAGATTATTTCATGATACATGAATTATCTGAAATTCAGACTTCAGCATCCACCAATAGTTCTACTGGCACACAGCCATGACCGCTCACTCACACGCTGTGTCTGGCTGTTTCGGCGGTCCAGTAGTAGAGCTGAAGAGCTGCCAAGAGATGACATGGCTTTCAAAGCCTACGATGTTTACTATCTGGCCCTTTGCAGAGAGAAGTTTGCCAACCCCTCGTTTAGGGAAAAATCAATTTACCAGTTACATTAACTCAAAACAAGTATTTATCACAATGAATTGTCCTATCATCAGTGACAGTTATCTTATGACTAACTTAAAGAGGGAAATTACAGATACAAGTATTATGCCCTACTATTCTCACGAAAATTTCAGCCTTATCCAGATTGTTTCTCATCCCCCTCAAAAAACAAAAATTTTTGCAGAACACGTGTCTTGCTTTTGGATAGGAAATATGTGATATGTACACTGAAAGCAAATTATCAAGCATGCAGTATATCTCCTGTGGTGGAACAAACGACCTGAACTCTGCACCTCCTCCTGATCAAGGACCCACCGTGGGGAGAAGGAATACCAAGTTCGCAATAGCTCTCGAGGATATGAGTGTTCTGAACACAAGCTCAGACAGTATTTGAAGTCAACAGAATTAGGGAAGTAAAGGCAGGATACTTGCTTAAAGCAAATAGATGAATTTTCTATCAGTAAACCACACCTTAAGTTACTGCAATACAGAGAAACTCAATAATCCCAACCAATGCTGAAAATCTAGGAGAACTGAATGCAGATGTTCAATGTACAATTATTTCAACTTTGCTGTTTTCTTAATAAAATGTTGAAATAAAACACATACCTCCTGAAAATAATATTATAGAACTGCAAACAAGTTGGTGATGTAGGTGGAAGTTCATTTGTTAAAGTGATCGTTATCCTCACATCCTCTCCATTCCGGGTCTTACTAAAAACTTCAGTAACCTGAAGCCAGAGAGGTGGAAAACCCAAACTTTAAATCCTTAAAGGACAATTATGCCCAATCACATACTGCTTGCTTAATAAGGCAACATTGAAAACCATAAAATGTTTTAACTGGATTTTTTTTAAATGGCTCTGAGAAAAAGAGTGGCTAAGTGTATTATAACTCAATTGTAATCATCAAGTTACCCAGACAAATCTGACAATGCTACAATAATGCCAAAGTACCCTATGTGTTTATTCCAAGTCATATCAGACAGGAGACTCCTGGGGCCTCTCTAAAAGCCATGTGAGCTATCTTACATTGTGGTAGTTCTGCTTTGAAGTGGAAATCCCCCATCTCCCTTTTCCCAAATAACCTTTTGCTGTAGTCTTTTAGGTAAAAATAATATCGTTCCATCAAAAGCATGACACTTTCCAATTAGATCTTCGTGTTGAAAAAGAAGAGCTGAACGGAGTCTTCTGGCTTCCATCAGTGGGTTATAGTCAATGTGATACTGATATAAGGCCCACTGGGGACGGGATGTCAGCCGGAAATGGTTAGTGCTTAACCTTACTATAATGCCTGAAGAACCTGGAAAAGGAAGTTATAGTCAATTAACAAAATATCAAGTTTATTTTTCCTTGAAATCTTTCCTACCATGACAAGGCAGGCACAGTTCCGTAAACACAAGGCTAAGAGCAGCAGACAACATGAAAGTCCTCAGACATCTGACTTTGGAGACCACTAGTCTCTCTCTTTAGGTGAATTTCTAAAGAAGCATACATTTAGAAACAAATCTTCCTTAGACTAAGTAATTTACAAATAATTTGCAACAAAACCAACTAAATCTCTTCATGGCAAAGAGTTTTAAAAATGATCTATTAATATTTAATGAGATGACGTTTCAAAATGTGCAGTTAAAGATATCTATAACCTACTTCATCAACGCCAAAAGAAAGTGAGGAAAATCGAAAAGCCATGCAGGATCCTTGGCCAAATAAACACCTAAACTAAAGTGCCTCAATTCACTGTCCTGTGTTCCTGAGATGTAATCTCACAAAACTTATTCTTAATTAACCTACCTGTTTTTGATTCTTTAACATGGTCTAGGTTCTGCCTTGTATTCACACCAAGATCATGAAAATCTCTACGACGACCTCCTCTCTCTGCTAACGATAACTCCTGAAATCCAGCAGATATCTGGAGTCCTTAAAAAAAAATTGTGTACTTGAGCAACATAAAGCACGAAATAAAGGATGACAATATTAACTCCCATAGTGCTATTATGTGTAATCCAAAGGATACTGAGGTGTAGAAGACAAGGCATAAAACAATCCTATCAACATGTTTTAGGTATCTGCCAGCCTAACGAGAGAATGGTTTCCTAGTTATAACTTCATTCATAAAGGCCTTGTCACTGTCCTGGGCAATTGCAGATGCACCCTTTCAAGAGATGTGCACCTTGAATCAAGAGATCAAGCCAACTGGACTGTGGTGCAAGAGTGCAGGAGCATATGTTTGCTGACTGGGAAATTATTTTTCTGTATTGTAAGTCTGATAACTACCTAAAGGTCTTCATGTATTTTCCACAGTCTGTCATGATGCAATTACAACTACAGAAGTTGCTGGTTTAGAGGGTTTAAATCTGTAACCTGGATTAGAAAACTTACATCTAAAATGCAACTTCCTCACTACCTGACTCTCTTCAGAATCAGAAGAATGGATTTCTGCACCTGCACATATTCTATGACCATGACACGCATCTCATACTGGTATAGGTAATAAGGTCGTGATTAATCAGTTCATGCTTAGTGCTACAAGCTGTGGTTATAAGAACCTAAATTATTCAAGTCATTTGATTTGCTGAAATTATACAATTATCTCAGATCAACAATCTGATGTGAGCCAAAAAACAAATATGAACTTTGTAGTCAAGCATTAAAATTCCAGCTGTCAATTAATAGGCATGTTATCTTGTGTAAAAGAGATTACCAGTTGACTATCCAATAACTAACCCCTCATTCTTTAAATAAATTCTATTTTTGGAGTAATATACTTAATAGACTAAAATTTCCACCCTCCCCATGGTTAGGGATGGCCTAAGATACTTAAGCAGAAATTGCAGGATGACACTTTTGGAAAAATTCCATAAGAGAGCCAATAGCTGACATGTGACTTTTGTACTTCCTGACCCTTTGCCCTGCCCATGGAGCCTGGAATCTGGATCTGGCAGGGAGGGCTCAAATACAGAAGTTCTGAACCAAACAGAGGTCTTAATGATGGCAGTCATGAGCCCAGGACAAAAGAACAAAAAGATCAGAGTCCAGTTCTCTTCTGACCACAAACACCAGAACTGCCTACTCTCTAGACTTCCTTAGAGAAATAACAGTGGCTTAAAATATTTCAGTCCTTGCTATACTTTGGAAACCAGTTATTTAATATGAGTGTCAATTCCTTCACCTGAAAAATTGAGAATAAGCATCACAGGCATGTCAGAAGTTTTAAATATCACGTCTAAAGCACTTTACAAGGCACTTCCATGTTTGTTTCTGTACCTCATGATTTGGAGGGGGCTCTACCTAAAAATCCTTTAAACATGTAACTGTTCATACTTGTCTCTCTCAGTGAGCTTTTTATCCCAGAGGCTTGGTTTGAAGTATTGATGGCACTGGGTGAGTAACTACACTAAATCACGCATACTGAATCCAACCTGATGACACTGAAGGGTCATAAAGGCTGATATTTTTCCTTAAAAATTTTTAATTTGTCTTAAAAAAATTCAGTTCTGGACGCAAAAATCCAATTGCCAGTTTCTGAATATAAACAATGATGAAATCAGTTCTGCTTGAGATATACAGTACTGCTATGACACTTAGCCAAAGCTTGATTTTGTCACTTGATGAAGAGGACAGATTTCAGAATGGACAAGACTGGGAACCTTGCTAATTCCCCCTTCCATGCAGCTCCTAGAGTGATTTTATTTCAAACACACATCAGACCTCACACCACTGTGCTATTTAAGAATCCTTCAATGGGCCGGGTGCGGTGGCTCACGCCTGTAATCCCAGCACTTTGGGAGGCTAAGCCGGGAGGATCACGAGGTCAGGAGATCGAGACCGTCCTGGCTAACACGGTGAAACCCCATCTCTACTAAAAAATACAAAAAAATTAGCTGGGCGCAGTGGTGGGCGCCTGTAGTCCCAGCTACTCGGGAGGCTGAGGCAGGAGAATGGCAGGAACCCAGGAGGTGGAGTCTGCAGTGAGCAGAGATCGCGCCACTGCACTCCAGCCTGGGAGACAGAGTGAGACTCCGTCTCAAAAAAAAAAAAAAAAAAAAAAGAATCCTTCAATGCATCCACATCCCTTTACAGAATGAAAATCAAGGTCCAAACAATGTCTAATTAACAATAATCTGTTAAACTTATATTAATTTCTACAATACATTAGGTATTTGAGCATTTACCGTGACAAGCAATTCTCAGGTATAATCCCTAAAGAGCAGTGAGAGATGACAAAACAGGGCCTTCATTTGTTATCCCATGTATTAATGGTCACAATGATCTTTACCTCTACAGGTAGACACTACCTTGTTACAGATAGGGAACTGTTCCATAGAGTTAAATTTGCAATCCTGAGTAACCATTTTTTTAAGTCATTTATTAATGAAGACTGATACATAGAATGTTTAAGAAATTATATTTAAGTATTTTCCACAATTGATTTGTGTGTTGTGGCAACATTATAAGGAAATGTTTCTTAAACAGTTTCAGCACAAATTTTTGTACCAAGTTTTAATTCAATAAAATTTGCTGTATATGTTGAACAGAGTTGTTAAGACTTCCTTTTACTTTCTCTTCACCTTGTGACTTGGCTGTTCCTCCTGCTGTTCCTCTCTGCCGTCCACGGCCAAATAATTCCCCCTCTGCTGGTGGCGGCTGAGGCCTAGGCTGAATATAACCAGGTTGCTGACTCTGTAGTTACATGCAAATAAAGAACATTCTTTTCGTCAAGCGGTCAGACACCAGAGAAAATTTCTAGTCTTAAGTCTCAGGAATTCAACCAACACCTATCTAAATTAATAATCAAATATTTTATTCTTAAAAATAAATTTGAGAGAAGAGTCACCAAATAAAGTCACGAATCAGCTTCTAATATCCTGAGGAAACAGGGCATGATCTCCCTTGCTCACTTCCTATATCCTTCCCAGCACAGTTTTTAGTTTATTTTCAACAGCCTAGGCTGATCAAGAGTCAAAGACATTTTCTGTAGTCAGAAACGGTGAAGCACTCACGGCAGTGGAGCCCACCAGCTGCGCTGTCTCCTGACCGCGGGCCCTTCCTCTGGCTCTGGCTCGGGCTCTCCCAGTCATTGTTTTCTATTTCTGGAGAGGAAACAATCTTGAAGACAATACTCAATGGAGGCAATCGCATTTGATAATTTCTACAATGTTACTTTAAACTTCTTTGAGTTTCAAAAGTAAGCTCCCCAGGCAATTATTATGTATCCTTCTAATCTTTAATGACAGTTTTTTTTAATGTAACATTCCTACATTCAACAAACTCAGTTGCTTACCTTGCACTGGGCACTGCAGTAGGGCCAAAGGGGAAAACCTATTTTAATATAAGACTTAGTTTTTCATTTGGATTATTTATTATAAACAGACTTAGGAGGAGAAAGTGCTGAAAGAATTAGGATGCTGGTGGCTGGTTCTTTCTTTCCCATTTGGAGATACACATGTACACACACTTAACACATACTCCCATACACAGACACACACACACACACACACACACACACACACACACGGAAACAGGCACTTGTGGCAAGTGTCCCGCCAGGCCCCTTAGAAAATCCTTCTGCATACATAATGAGTCATCCTGGATCTTCCCAGAGTTCCATGTGTGGCTTACACTGAACATACCCAAACTAGTATCTCTTCTACCTCATGTCCCATAATTTCATTCTTGGTGAGTGGCATCACCATATACGTTATATCTAAATAAAAAGAATGGAGTCATTGATTTCAAAACCACTCCTTTATTTCTCCTACATCTGCCAGGACCGTTCTCTCCATTTCTTCAACATCATGATGGTACTAAGTGCTTCCTGTGAGCTGGGATCAGCTTTGGGCTCAGCTGTAACAATCTCTCACCCTCATCGTGGTGGTACACAATGTCATCAGGCTATTAAGGGTAGAGGCCTCAGAGCTCAACTGCCTGAACCCAACTCCTTCACATTTTAGACAACATGAGAAAACAACATAGCGTGTGACTCTTTGTCGAATGGTTGGAATAACCTACTGCACAAGTCAATGGTGAAGATCAAATGAGAACTCACACTGGCCTCTAGTGAGCAGTCAACAAACATTAGCCCTAATGGAAAGGGCAGGTAAAATTATAACTACACGTGTTAATACACGTTATTTACACACAGCTTTAAAAGCAACTTGAAGTCAGCTTCTTAGAATACTACACGAAGGCAGGATGCTAGTAGTGTTATCTTTTTCATATGAAGTAGTTAGATCTTAGGATAAATCCAAAATATCTTTGGTAGAATTCTCTAACACTTGTTGCACCTTGTTATCCACCTCTAACAAGATTTAAGCTGAAACAGAGAATTAGGAATTGGAAGGTAGGGTGGTACCAGTCTTTCACACAAACGGTAACAACCCACACATAAGTGCTTGAACTGGATGCAGAACCAAAAGACGTCCAGTGGGACTGGAAAGAGAAGGGGCAAGGGGAGTGGAGGATTTCATGTGGGCAGGGAGCAGACTGCTCAGGGTCCTGCAGACAGCTTGGATACTCAACACATGAGAAACCATCCAAGGTTCTACATAGGGGCAGGCGATGACATCATCTACCATCACTCTGCCTTAAATCACATTATCTTTTTCATCCTCTGAGTTTTAACAGCTTCTAAAATTCTTGGCTTCATGATCTTCACAGAAAGATAAATCTAATGCCATTTTTCAATTTTAAAAACCTCCGACTTCCTATTGTATTTTACAGGATTAAAGCAAATATTCATTGTATAAGACCCCTTACAATATGACTCTAAATCAGCAATTTCCAAAGGAGTTTACACAGGATAATCCGCTGAGGTGCCAGCATATTACAACTAATTTTAAATCTCATTTTAAACTGCTTTGTATTTATTTTATAATGTGCGCATCATGACAATGATTACGTATGCATGCTCGGCTTACACACGGGGCATACTGGCGCATGAAAGTCTCTTACTGATAATCTACAGGCAGCGTCCCCAGCAGCAGCAGCAGCACCACCACCACCACCACCAACCCCCCTCCCCCCACCCCCCCTCCCCCAACCACCACCACCAACCCCCACGCCCCATGGACCTGTACCGGAACCAGGCCACACAGCAGGAAGTGAGCCGCAGTGAGTGAGCAGGACAGCCTGAGCTCACCTCCTGTTAGATCAGTGGAGGCATTAGATTCTCCTAGGAGTGAGAACCCTACTGTGAAGTCGGCGTGCCAAGGGTCTGGGCTGCCTGCTCCTTATGAGAATCTAATGCCTGATAATCCGAGGTGGAACCGTTTCATCCCGAAACCATCCCTCACCGGTCCGTGGAAAAATTGTCTTCCAGGAAATCGGTCCCTGGTGCCAAAAAGACTGGGGACTGCTGATCTACAAATCAATCTGAAAGCATCCGCTTGAGACTCCAGCAAACACAACTTGCTTCCTATCACTATCAATTCCGTGACTCACCCTACACCGTGGCACACCCTCTGCTAACAAAGCCTCACCCTCCTCTGAAACCACAAGAATCCAGTGAACCGCTTAAGGACCAGCTCGCAGGCCATCCCTTGCTCCCTTCTCCGAAAGCCGTTTCCCCGGCGTGACCACGGTCACCCTACTACATGGTAACCTGTTTTCTCCCTCCCCACATCTCTGCACTCCATAGCTTCTCCAACTAGGCTGCGAATCACAATTGATGCCTTTGCACCCAGTCCGTCGCTTGACACCTTACAAACAACGGTGTGAAACAGTGATTAAAAAACAGTGACAAGCTGAACTCTCATCTCCAGCAGGAAATATTCCTAAAGCAGCACGTCAGTTCTCAAAGCCTGGTCCCTGACGGGCAGCATCTGGACTGGCTGGGAACAGAAATTACGGGGTGGGGAGCGGCTCTCAGCCCTCCCGAGTTAGAAGCCGACTGGAAGCAGCCCTCCAGCTGATTCTCATCATCTCCAGGGCCTGAAACCCACGGCGGCGCGCTGTGCTGGTCACTAAATACCTGGGGGGCTCAGCGCTCTACGTCCAGGTTTCCCAGCACAACTCTGGTTTTCAGCTTTATCTCCTTCCAGTTTCAAAACCACCTCAGTCTGGATATTGAATTCTTAAAGTCAGAAAGCAAGTGTGTGCTTCCAATAACCACACTCGCTGGAAATCACCTCTCCGATTCGCTACCAGCTCTGCCAAAGACGCTTCCACCTAACGTCCCTCCGGCGCTGAGCTCAGGACCACGCCGTGCACGTGGGAACCACCACCGCGCCACACGCCTAAAAACCGTTGAGCGGTACATTCTATGCGAGCGGGGTCTCTCTGGCCACAACTTAAAAACGAAAAGAAAAGCGCTCAGAGAACAGGCTGCGCAGGGGTGCAGCCGGCTTTGCCCTGGAGGCCGCCGGGGCTGAAGACGGCGAGAGCATCCATCCCAGGACGCCACCGCCCCGCCGCCCCTTTCCCTCCACAGGTGCCAAGGGCCGGGCCGCCAGCACCCGCGAGGACCCCCGGGCCTCGCAGAGCCCGGCCGTCGCGGTCGCCGCCTCACTTGGGGTCCTCCGGAGTTCCGTCCTCTTCCCAACGTCCGGCTCCCAAGGCTCCCGGGGGCGCAGCGCAGCGGCGGCGGACGCGGGAAGGGGCCCTCGCCCTCCGCAGAGATCGCGCCCCGCGGCCGCGTGGGTAGTGCGGGAGGTCCCGAAGGCCCTCCTGCAGAGCTCTCAGGTCCCCGCAGTCTCACGCACGGCCGCCAATGCGGAGACCTCCGCCCCCGCACCCCCGGCAACTCAGGCCTCAGCCTCTCACCCCGGCCCCTGCACCTGGGACCTCGCCCCCGCACCCCGGCCCCTGCACCCCCGCACCCCGGCCCTACAGCCCCGGCAAGTCGGGCCTCAGCGCTTCCCCCCGGCCCCGCACCCCCCACACCTGATACATCGCCCCCGCACCCCGGCCCCTGCACCCCAGGCTCCTGCATCTCCCAAACCTGGGACCTCGCCCCCGCACCCGGCTCCTGCATCCCCCGCACCTGGGACCTCGCCCCCGCACCCGGCTCCTGCATCTCCCACACCTGGGACCTCGCCCCCGCACCCGGCTCCTGCATCCCCCGCACCTGGGACCTCGCCCCCGCACCCGGCTCCTGCATCTCCCACACCTGGGACCTCGCCCCCGCACCCGGCTTCTGCATCTCCCGCACCTGGGACCTCGCCCCCGCACCCGGCTCCTGCATCTCCCACACCTGGGACCTCGCCCCCGCACCCGGCTCCTGCATCTCCCGCACCTGGGACCTCGCCCCCGCACCCGGCTCCTGCATCCCTTGCACCTGGGACCTCGCCCCCGCACCCGGCTCCTGCATCTCCCACACCTGGGACCTCGCCCCCGCACCCGGCTCCTGCATCTCCCGCACCTGGGACCTCGACCCCGCACCCGGCTCCTGCATCCCCCGCACCTGGGACCTCGCCCCCGCAACCCGGTCCCCGCACCTCGAGCCTCACCTCCACATCCCGGACCCCCAGCCGCCGCCCCCGCATCCCGGCCCCCGCACACCTAGCACCTCAGCCTGGCCCCGCACCTTGGACCGCTGCCCTCGCCCTAGTCCTGGTCCTTGCACCTCAGCCCGAGGCCAACAGCCCCAACGGCTCCCGCGGAGATCCCTCCGCGCCGCCGACCTCCCAGGACCTCCTTCGGCCCGCGCCCACCTCGCCTTCGGCGCTGGGTTCCCGAGAGAGCCAGGGACACGCGGGCAGCGAGCAACAGGCGCTCTTTTCCCGGGCGGATGAACACCGCCTCCCGGGCGCCGGCCTCGTGTCTGTACGCCATACGCCCAGTAACGGCGGAAAGCGGCGCGCGCCACGCCCTCATTGGCTGCCCCGCAAACGGCGGTTTCTGATGTGGCCGGGGCGGGACCAGAGGAGCCCCGCCCCACAGGCCCCGGCCCCGCCCCTCCAAGACCCCGTCTGGCCCCTCCCGGACACCCGGCACAGGCCCAACAAGCCAGGCCCGCCCCGCCCCACAGGCCCTGCCCCTGGCCCCCCAAGACACCGCCTGGCCCCGGACAGACACCCCGCACATGCCCTGGCCCCTCCCCATAGGCCCCGCCCCCATCCCGCCAAGACCCCGCCTGGCCCTGCCTAGACGCCACGCCCAGGCCCCCACAGGCCCCGCCCCCGCCCCACAGGCTCCGCCCCTGTCCCCCCAAGACCCCGCCTGGCCCCGCCCAGACACCCAACACGTGCCCTGCCCCCTCCCCACAGGCCCCGGCCAGCCCCACCCAGGCCCCGCCCTGTTCCTCTTCTGCTTCGCCCAGACCCCCGGCCTTCCCTGGCTTGACTCCTGCAGTTCCCCCAGTGCCAGCCCCCTGCAGGCGGACACGGGGTCGGGCCAGTTCCCTACTAGCTCGTGGAACTGGGCGGCGGCGCACGAAGTAGACCCTCCATAGACTTCGAAATGGTGCCCACGTGGGCACCGAGCGCCCTACTGTAGCAGTGGACTCGATCTTGGTCTGGCCTTTAACGTCGGAAGCTCTTTCACTCAGCACACAGAGATTTGAACTTTGACCCCAAAGAAAATAAAACTGCAATGCAAGTCTAAGGTGCCAGGAGGCCGTTACCTGGAAATTTAGCTTTCAATGACTTGTGCCTTGGGTGCATGCCAACGTGGACCGCAGGGGTTCTCAGCCTTCACCTGCGGGGGATCACCTGCAGGGCTGGTTAGGACACAGACCAGAGATTCCGGTCTGCAGGCTCCACAGGTGGGCCCCGCCGGCTGCATTTCCAAGGCATCGCAGGTGGTAGCGACCGGGTCTACGCCGAGCTAGGTGCCCTCCATAGGAGTTAATTTCCTCATGGAGGCAAAGTCAACAGCCACAAAACAACCGGAAATATTGTAAGATAGAACAGGTTTATTTGTCAAGGTGGAAGTGGGACTGAGGCTCACTAACTGCCTGACCTGTTATGTTCCATAACTATAAACATGATTGTAGGAGGTAGTAGAAATAGGGTCGCCTCTGCAGACAGGTTTTAAAACTGCATTTATACGGTAAACATAGTGCTTTTCCTTTTTTTTTTTTGTGAGACGGAGTCTCACTCTGTCGCCCAGGCTGGAGTGCAGTGGCAGGATCTTGGCTCACTGCAACCTCCGTCTCCCAGCCTCCTGAGTAGCTGCGACTACAGGCACCCACCACCATGCCCACATAATTTTGTGTTCTTTGTTTTGTTTTGAGACAGGGTCTGGCTCTGTCAGGCTGGAGTGCAATGGTGGGATCATGGCTCCCTGCAGCCTCGACCTCCTGGGCTCAGGTGATCCTCCTGCCTCAGCCTCCCCTGTAGCTGGTACTACAGGTGTGTGCCACCTGTAGTAATTTTTTTGTATTTCTTGTAGAAATACGAGAAATACACCCAGCTAATTTTTTTGTATTTCTTGTAGAAAGAGGGTTTCATCATGTTGCCCAGGCCGGTCTCAAACTTCTGGGCTCAAGTGATCCACCCATCTTGGCCTCCCAATGTGCAGGGATTACAGGCATAAGCCACAGAGCCCGGCCTACATATTGCTTATTATTCATACTTAAAAGCGCATGCCTGGGAATCGGGGGCTGGAGAGGGCTGAAGGCTCCCCAAGCCACCTTCCCAAATCCTACGTCTCATCTGTGCCATGAAAGGGGCAGGTTAGATGTCAGCGTTTCCCACACTAGCCTGAGTGTAAGCATCCACTGAGGGAACTTCCAAATAATACAGACTCCCAGATCACGCTGATTCCAGGAGGTCTGGGACGGGTGCAAGGAATTTCAAGAAGTAACATCAAGTTATTCTTATGCTCAGAGAAGGCTAATAAATTTGGGGCGAGGCCAAAAGGCGTTGGAAGCCAGTAGTTTGAAAGAAAAATAGCTTTCCAAAGGCTTTCGCTTTGTAAAAACTAAATGGTGCCTTTTGGAATACAATGTGAACATAACTTTTCCAAGGATTTAAGGTGTTGATGAGAAAGACATTCTGAGACCTGCCAGCAGATGGAGCCATAAAACAAGAAATAGATGTTTACAGCCTCAACTCGGGAGAAAAATACCGTGAATGCACCTTACACTATAGAAGTAACACTTTTCCCTCTGCTTTATTTTCTCTATATGCTAAACTCCTTACTTGCCTCTGCTAAAGAACATCGCTGGAGTGTCTTGGTGTGTGAAGTATGAAATAGTTTCTAAAGACATAAGTTGTGATATAGCAAGACAGAGGCAAAACCCCTCATTCTTCTGAGAGTGTAAACATCATGTCGCAAGAAGCTCACCTAAAATTTGAAAAGGAAAACTCAACGAAAATTTGAAAAGAAATTCAAGGAAAAAAAAATGTGACCTTTAAAATTTCCATGTTGACAGCACCACCAGGACCCCTTCTGGGATCCGTTGCTAGGTATAACTTCGTGCCTGACTCTGGAAGTTAAAAAATGAATAGTTACAGATTCTTTTTCCGGGAGCCGCCTCTAGAGGGGTGTACCCACCAGGGAAGGTGAGCAGAGTGCCACCAATCCTGTGGGTGCTCAGCGGGAGGTTGCTGAGGGATGCTTCGTGACTCAACGCTGCTGAAGCCCTGAAGGCTGATTTGGGTTTGCAGGGAACAGGAGGATCGGCATGGCGGAGCACGTTGGTCTGAGCACATGTGAGGTGTTTAGAAAACTGCAAGTCATCCAGCACGGGAGCAACGCCAGGCACAGGCAGGGGAGTCGTAGGGGATGATGCTGCAGAAGGGACAGACCGGGTTCTAGAAGTTGGCGAGCAAGGAAATGTGAGCATCTGGACTGCCGAACGCACCCTGTTAAGTGCTGTGAGTAAAACACACTCTGTCCTCCCATTGATGTGAATAAAACACACTCTGCCCTCCCGCTGATGGCCCAACAAGGGAAGCAGGGAGTGTGACAATTGGGAACGTGGATGCTGACCTGAAGGGCCAGTGGCTGCTTAGTCCTAGCCAGTTACCAGGAGAGAATGAGGGCTCAGATTTGCTGGGCCTCACATGATGGCTTTGGTTGTTGTTGTTGTTGTTTTTTTAATTGAGGTGAAATTCACATAACACTACATTAACTATTTTACAGTGAACAATTCCATGATATTTAATGCGTTCATAATGTTACGCAACCCCCCACCTCTAGTTCCAAAACATTTTCATCATCCCAAAATAAAACCGTCACTCTCCATCTCCCTCTTCCCCCCACTACCCTGGCAACCACGAATCTGCTTTCTGTCTCCTTTCCTGTTCATTTCATAGAAACGGGGTCATACACTAGGTGGCCGTTTGTGTCTGGCTTCTTTCACTCAGCGCCGTATTCTCAAGGCTCACCTACGTCGTAGCCCGTCAGAGCTTCCGTCCTCCTTACGGCTGGATCTTACTCTGCTGTTTGGACGGACCACATTTTGTTTATCCACTCATCCATTGGTGGACAGCTCAAACGTTTTTAAAGGGGAGCAGGAAACTTGGACATTTTCCGGTGCGTTTTTAGGAATGGCCACCAGTGCTCTCTAGTGTTGGGCAGAGGAGCATCCCAGGGAAGGGAAACAATGGAAGATACTCAGAGAACAGAAAAATCCCAAGTTACTTCATGTAAAGCTGAAAATATGATCTGGGTAGATTATGCTGGGGGTGACAGGGACTAGATGGAAAAGAAACTCATCATGAACCCTGCATGCTGTGTCCAGAGCTTTGGACTATATTCTGTAACCAATCAGTTTCCCAAGTTTTTAAAGCAGAAAACCACATACTCAGAGCAAGCTTTGACCTAGTTCCTTTCATTCAAGGATCTCAAAGCCCCTTTAAACCCATGATCCAGATTTTGTTTGTAAAGGAAGAGATGGAGTTGAAAAACAAGATCTAAGGCAGTTCCTATGAATCCCTTCAATGTAATTTTTCAGAGCATTTCCCTTCTCCCTTCAGACTCATGTCGTTCTGATTGGGCTGAATTGAAGAGCTGCCCAGCCTCTCCCCTGGCCCTGAGACCCCTGACCTAGAGGGACTAACTAGAGGGACGGCATGGCAATGGCAAGTGTACCCAAGACAGCATGCCCGGAGGTTTATCCAGGAATATTCATCCAGAGGGAAAGAGCAATGGGTGAGGCTGAAGTTCGTCTGTTCTCTTATATACAAAATGTGAACAAATCCTGAATATCACAGTCTGGCCACAAGGGGGATGTTTTGGGGTGGGCAGGGTGACGGAGGCAGGGGGTCCTGACTTGGCTCCCCAGGAAGTGGGTTCTGTTCTGTTCGCTTAAGCTCTCTGCATTCTTTTTTCCACGCTAGACGATGAGCATGTTGGACCAGATGGGCACGTGTCCAAGTGCACCCTATGGAATGTATCAGCATCGGCCTCGCCTGGAAGCCTGATAGAAATGCAGATTCCCAGGCCCTGCCCAGGCCTGCTGTATCCGGATCTCTTGGTGGTGGAGCCCAGGGATCTGCATGTCACGAGCTTGCTCAGAGTATCTGTGAACTGAGTTCAATCCACAGCCCTCTACTCCAATGCTAGCCAGACCCTGGGGCCATTGCCTCTCCCCCCACATGCCCCTCCATACTGTCAGCACCTCTGCATTGTGGCCTTTCTGCCACCCCCAACCGACTTGGGGATCCCAACCACCCACACCCAGGGGCCTGCACCAGACTGCAGAGTGTTGCCTGAGGGGACACAGTCCACAGTCATCCTTTTCTCCTCTCCTTCCCAGTTAATTCCATTTTCCACGCCTCTCATGGCGATTCCTGATCTTCACAGGCCCCAGAGCCTCTGACCCTGGTGTTCCCCCTGAGAAAATGAGGCCAGGGTTTGTGAGCTGCCCATGCCACACCTGTGCCTGCCTCATCATGTGGAGTCCCTTTAGCTCAGCTCTAGGGTCCCCCTTCTTGCTTCCTCAAAGATCCTCCTCTCTCCCAAGTTCCTCTTCTTCTTCTCAATACTTCTCTCTTCTGGGGCTTCCTCCTTGACACGTCAATGTTGTCTAGCTGTCTTCATCAATTTTCTTTATTATTTTATTTGTATATATTGTATTTTATTTTAAGACAGAGTCTTGCTGTGTCAGCCAGCCTGGAGTTCAGTGGTGCAGTCATAGCTCACTGCAGCCGCGACCTCCTGGGCTCCTGTCTCTTGAGTAGCTGGGACAACAGGCATGGGCTACTACAGCTGGCTAATATTTTCTTTTTACTTTTTAAGAGACAGGGTCTTACTAGTCATCCTCGTCTTTAAGAACGAAGCAAAACAAGGGTCTCGAAGAGATATTTGTACCCACTGTTCATAGCAGCATTGTTAAAGAGTTAATATGTGGACCCAACCCAAGTGTGTTTCCATTGATGAATAATGAGCAGAACGGGGTCATCCGTGCAGTGGGTATTACCAGCCTTAGAAAGGACGGGAATCCCGACGCACCCTGCAACATGGATGAACCTAGAGGACATTAAGCTCAGCGAAGTAAGCCAGTGACGAACAGACAAATATCATTCCACTTCTAAGAGGCACTTAGTGTTGTCAAAGTCAAGGACAGACAGTAAAGCAGGGTTGCTGGGGCTGGGGGAGGGGAACGGGGTTGGTGTTTGATGGGGACAGTGTTTCAGTTTTGCAAGATGGAAGGAGCTCTGGTGTTGGTGGTGGTTGTCTGACATTACGACATTATGAATGTATTTCATACCATTGCGCTGTACACATAAAAAGGATTAAAATGGCAAATTTTATGTTCTGTGTATTTTGCCACCATAAAAACAGTTGGGGGGGAGAAAAAGAAGTAAAACAAAAATGAATCCCTACGGCTCCTCCTTTCCTCTTTTCCCTCCAGAGTCCATCTCCTTGAAAGAATGGTTTCTTAGGCCCCACGTCCACATCTTGCCCTCCCACAGTGTGGTTTTGATTCTCAGAGGCCTCCGTGGGCTCCAGAACCCTCTTGGTTTCTAATCCCAGTGGCTCCTTTCAGACAACCTGTCTTCCCTGGGACACATGAGTGTTGCTCAGCCTGCCCTATCCATCTCAGCACCATCCCCCTTGCCCTCTGTGATACGGCTTTCTTCCTCCAGCTATAGCCAGTCATTGCAGCTACCCACAGGAGTTTGCCCTTCTCCCGCCTCCTCATGCATACGCACTGACAAAGCGGCTCTCCAAGTCCAAGTGTGGCTTGGAGCTCCAGCAGCACCGAGACCTGTTGGACATGCAACTCCTTGCCTCCCAGCCCTGACCTGCTGAATCCAAAACCCTGGGGCTGAGCCAGCCGTGTGTGTTGCCAACCACGTTGGTTCCAGTCCATTCGGGTTCACCCTGCAGTCGAGAACCACTGGGCTAAGCGAGCTCACCCTCGGAGCTCAGGAGTGACACTCAACATCCTCCCGCTGTCAGGATTCTCAGGCCTCTGCAGCTGAGCGGCCCTGGACGACTCTGGCCCGTGTTAGCCCCTGCAGTTTATATGCGCATCTCCCAGCGGCCCTGGCCCTCCCCTCCTAGCACTAGGCCCGGTTGCTTTGCCAGTGGCCTCTAGAGCAAGACATGGAAGGTCACCGCAGGAGGCAAAGGGAGAGCTTCTTAGAACAAAGTTGATTCTAAAAATAAGAAAATAAGTTGAGCTGTAATATATGTAAGATGCGGGGGACGCCCGTACCCTCCTTTGGTTCCTGCGTCTTGTGCATAATGGCTGTGTCCAGGGTGGAGGGTGGGAGCCCCACCGCATGGCGGGGTTGGTAGCCCCCATCTCTGACTCGTAGCCAGCCTCTGGTGACCTGCTGTGGCCTGGTGGGCCCCGTCAGCAGCGGCTGGGATTACTAACCCAACTCTCTCTAGACCAACCTTCACAAAAAGAAATGGTTGGAAAAGATTCCTCTGCAAAGAAATAACGGGTGGGGGGACATACGGAAAATGCAAACATCAGCAAACCCCAAGAAATGGTTAGAGCTGATACCTGCATTTCTTTCTACTCCTCCTGCAAGCTTTCGGCAGATGGAAAGGCTGAGTTATTTTCATTTCACACAGTTAAACGGAAAAGAAATAAGTATCACTCATAATTATGGTAGTGAGAAAAAGTTCTTACCAAATGAAAATGTTTATTTAATTCACTGTTATTTTATTTTTAATCTTTAATTAGTGGTGTATTTTATTATGTGCCTAATACTGTGGCATGTTGCAAATAGGTATAGTGGCATACTGCAACTAAATATAAATATATTGGATGCTCATGCTCAAAACTTTCTGTTCTGGTTGCATGATCAGAAGTATTTGGGGATTGCTAGGCTGCCAGGTCAAACCCACGTTCTGTGGTGTGGCTTGGCCCCCCTCCATCGGCCTGTCCGACTTTGCTCCTTTCCCAGGCTCTCCCCAAATCTGGATTCCAAGCTCCTGCCATAGAGAGCTTCGAAATTCAGCTCCTGGGCGCTTCCTCCATGAGGTTTTCTTTCCTTCATTTCCCTCTCTGTGGATCAGCATCCCTGCAGTGAGGGCCTCTCCTCTGTGGTTTTACCTTACCAGCCTTTCTATGTCTCTCCAATAGCATTTATCACACCACAATTGTAAGTAAACACGTACTTAACCCGTTTCCTTCATTATTGGGAAAACACGTTGAGGACAGAATCCTGGTCTTACTCAACATTGCGTCTGGTTCCTGGCATTCCGAGGGTCTCAGGAAATATTTCTTGAATACTTGAATGTACATAATAGTGTTCAGCTTTATGCAACACCTTTGCACGACAAAGTATTCACACTTTGTCCATTTCCATTCTTGTGTACCTCTCAGAACTCAGGCCAAGGGCAAAGTCACTGGCCTTTGGCATTCTTAATTTTTATATACCTGTTGTGTTCATTTCTTCTTCAAATATTGCATCCTTCTCTCTGACCATTTCCTCCCCAAGAGCTGTGTAGTTTTGTTTTGGAGTGGCCATAACTACTGGCTGTTATGCCCAAATTAGTTTGAACACAGTTTCCTGGCACCAGAGACACCCAAAGACTGTTTACTACCTTTTTTTTAAATTGACATGTCATAGTTGTACACATTTTGGGGGTACTTACAATATTTCATAGGTTCGTGCGATGTCTACGGATCAAATCGGGGTAACTGGGCTGTCCCTCGCCTCACACAATCGTTCACTGCCTCCTCTGCTCTCAGAACTCAGCATATTGTGGGGTGGCTACCACTGCCTTGAGTAACTCAGGGTTGCTTTGAAATTATTCTAAACAAATGTGGCAGCTCCAAAACCTTTGCCAGTAAATGGTGTATTTTAGACCTCAGCATGTGAAACAATCCTGGCCAAAGACATATAAGAGGATTTTGTCTGGGGTCATTAAAGGAAAAAAAAAAAAAAAAGGAAAAAACAGGACGTAACAAAGAGATGGTCTCTTCCTGCCTCTGGACTTTGAAGTATGTGGTGCCCAGAGCTGCTCTAGACCTCCTGGGACCATGACCAAAATTCCAAGAGATAAATTTTCTTTATTGGTCATGCCAGTTACACTTGGGCTTTCTGATGGTGCAACCCAGGACACCTTAACGGAAGACGCAGCGGGTCCCACCTCAGGATGTGCAGCAGGGCTGCCCGGGAGCTAATTAAATATGAGGATCTCTGGACCCAAGCCCAAACAACTGAACCAGTCCCCAGAGACAGCCATCTGAAGGTTTAAGAGGCTCTCCGGTTGATTCTGATATCAGTTGGTCAAGATCAAACTTTGAGAAACACTGCCAAATTATGTTTTCAGAGTAATGTGTTTCGAAGCAGAAATGAAATTCGGAATTCAGTTGGGGACACATTCAGTTTGGGCAAATATGCAGTTTACCTTGGTGAACTTCAGGGGTGACTGTTTTGCGGTAAACAAATGCCTTAAAATGAGCAATTCTGTTGTATTTATCCATCCATCACTCATCGGCCTCTAATCTGTACAAAGCCAAACTCTACCTTGTCCAAATTACTTTAACTGTTAGTAGAAATAATCACAAAGTTTCAGTATCTGCAGCATGCAGATAATTCACATAAGAGATTACTTTGAAAAATTATCAGATTAAGACTCATATTGCCTCAATTGGTAATACTGAAATCACATACATAGAATTAAAATTGTTGATATAGATTTCCATTTCTCCCCATGTTTAGTCACACAGGTACCCTGGATTTTGCACTGGTGTAAAATATATTTCTTCTGGAAATTGTTGAGTGTATGAACCGACCGGTAGCAGAGGTGGAACTGATTTGGGATGTGATATGCCAACCTCATCTACATTACTATTTAATTAGTCACCTATTGGTGCCTTTGAAATTTCACCCATCATCACTTCAATTCTTTAAACACCAAGAGCTAAAGGAAAGTGCCTGCAGTTTTGGTTGCTATAAATCATGTGGAGCTGTTTGACAGGATGCATCACTGCACAGGGTATGGGTTTTCTTCCTGCGCAGATCAGAAGTGTCCTAGAAATTTACACTGAAAACGGAACTTTGGGATGACAGGTACAGTGTGGTGAGCAGAGGTCAGACTCTAGTGTGAGACGAAACTTGGATTGAGTCTGCGAGATCAGTAGGATCATGAAAATTAAATGAGATAAGGTACATAAAGCGCCCAAAACTATTCCTAGAATGTCGTGTGTACACAACACACTTTACAGGTCAAGCTACGAATGGGTTTATAAGCCTGCATTATAGGTAGAGAAAGTGACAGTTACTTTGGCTTTATTGATCACAATGAACACAAAACGTTATTCATGTGATGAACGATGGTGCATGGGGAAATTGTACTATGTTAAATTTCGTTAATGAGAATGCTGGATAATGCAATCTTAATTGAGTTGAAGTTTATCTTTGTACTTCAAGGAGGGTTTCAGATGCAAATCAATCCTCCAAACAAGATTGCAGAGACAGATTTAACCAACTTAAGAGAACGACTGTTCTCGAAGAAACGGCGTATTGGATCGCACAGGAACTGCTCATCGTGAGTTACTTTTATCTGTTTCAGCAGGATCTGTATTTGCAAACCCATCATTAGCAGTTTATCCTTGTTGCCACGTATATTTAAAATCAGTCCAATTGCTTTTTAGAGAAAACATTCCAAAAGGATTAAAAAAAAAAAAATCAGTTGCCCTTTCATTTAATCCTGATTAGTTACACTTTATGCCTTTTAAAATAGTCAAAACAAATAATGATACTATACAAAGTTTGGGAAATAGAGGAAAAAGCTCACCTATAATTTCCAAAAGCTGATAATGCCTTCAAGCTTCATTTATGTATTCTTATCTGTGATTTTTCCCTATATTTTTACATATTTTCAGTCTTAGCTTATCCATACAATTTTATAACCCACTTTTCCTCTTATCATATACTAATTGTTATATAACTTTCAAATTACCATTTTGATGACTTAACTATTAACTGAATTTACCCAATGTTGAAAAACTGTCTCCTTTCGATTGGATTTTTATATTGATTCCAGATTTTCAACATTATAATCGATGCTATATTTCACATGTGCTTTTTTTTTTCTTTTGAAAATATCTTGAGGACAAATTCCCCAGAGCATGGTGCTCCATCTCAGCAAAATGTTCATTTTCATGACCCTTTGCACATTGTAAAATTGCTTTTCAGTAAGAGTGGAGCTAATCCACACTGCCACTAACCAATATAGCAGTTTTACTGCATCCTGTCTAGCTCTAGGTATTACCGTTTAGCAAGATGTGTAATCCCACTGAAGGACACAAGACAAGATGCGAACCAAGGGAAGGAGATATCAAGTTCTTGGCTGGGAAGGTGACTATCTGAAACGTTATTTCTTCTAAATTAACTTACAAATTAAAAGCTATTCCAATTAAATTTTGTACTGGACAGATTTTTAAAATTATATTTATATGGAAAATAAATTAGAATACTTATTTAAAAAAAGGAAAAAGATGATAAGCACTAGCTTTCTTATCGAGTATGAACATCAGATTCAAAACAATACAGAAGTAACACTGGAATAGATAGACCAGAAGAGAATAATAGGGAGATAAGAAATAGACACTGGCATAAATGGGACTTTGATATAGCAAAAGCCATGTTTCAATTCAGTGGGAACAAGATAGATTTTTTGATAAAGGACTGGTGCAACTAACATAGCATCTAGAGAAAAATCACATTGTATTTCTAGCTTCCACTGTATACAAAATCTAACTTTTGGTGGATTAAGATTTACATGCAAGGAATAAACAACATAAGCATTTGAAGAAAAGTTGGGAGAGTATCAATTGCAACATAGGAATTAAGGAGGTTTTTGTGACTTAGAAAACCTAGAAATTATAAGAGAAAGTATAAACACATTTACAAATTTAAAAATTTTGTATGGCACCAGGTACCATGAATAAAATACATGAAAAAATGATGTTTTGAGGCAAATACCTGCAGCACAGAAGACAGACAAAGGGTTCATGTCTATAATATACAAAGAGTTCTTGCAGTTCAATAGGACAGCCAGACAAGGATATAAACAGACATCTCATAAAGGAGCATAAGAAAACGGCCAATGTGGAGTCTTGCTCTGTTGCCCAGGCTGGAGTGCAGTGGGGCGATCTTGGCTCACTGAAACCTCCACCTCCAAGGTTGAAGTGATTCTCCTGTCTCAGCCTCCTGAGTAGCTGGGACTACAGGTGCCCATCACCACACACAGCTAATTTTTGTATTTTTAGTAGAGATGGGGTTTCACCGTGTTGGCCAAGCTGGTCTCAAACTCCTGACTTCAGGTGATCCACCCGCCTTGGCATCCCAAAGTGTTGGGATTATATGTGTGAGCCATGACACCTGGCCTCCAATATGATATTAAACCTCTCAAATAGTCTGTAGGATACAAAAGACAGTGACATCAGGGATAAAACGAAGACTGCATGTTAGAAAAGAGGTCACAATCAAAGACTGCCAATCAAAATGACATTAGACTACTCAACATCAACACTGAAAGCTAGAATTCAGGGGAGGATATATTCCACATCCTGAGGGAAATGATTTCCACCACAGATTGCCCTACCAAACCCCATTCATCAATCAAGCCCAGGGTAGAATAAAGACATTTTGAAACATGCAAGTAATTAATCACTTACTTCCCTTTCTCAGAAAGCCATTGCAGGGTGTGTTTTACATAGGCTAATAGATAAAAGAATTTCCAGGAAGATAGTTAAAAGAAGACTTGAGATGAGAGAAACCCCATCTCTACTAAACAGTAAACAGTCTTAGAAAGCCAGTGATTCTGGGAATAGTAGCAAGCCTCTTCTCATGTCTCAATGGCCAGAAATGTGTATTGTATCTTTGTATGAGCTAATCACTAGCAAGGGAGTGACATATTCCTAAAACCAGTGAGGGCCAGCCTCAGGTCCATGGTTGAATGGGAAATGGATTCAATAAAGTCAGGTTCTCCTAGGAAGGAGGAAGAGGATATTGGATGTTGGTTGGGCCATGGACAATACTGCGACAAGCACTCCAATCATATGTTGATATGTACGTGTGTGTGTGTGTATTTATTTTCCAGTTATTGATTCTCTTGTAATGAACTGTCTATCTAGCTTTGTGTCAGTGCTACACTGTTTTAATTATTATTGTTTTATAATGTGTTTTAATATCTGATAGAACTTGTCATCCACTTTAAAAATTTTTCTTTCCAGAATATTGTTTTATATTGTTGTTCTTTCTTCTAGATAAGACATAGAATTATTTCATCAAGTGGGTAAAGCTGCACATATTGGATTCAAACAGACCTGAGTTTGAGATTGGCATAAGATAGGACTGTTTATTAGCTTTATTCCTGGGGAAAGTTTCTTATCTGTGTAAGCCTAAGTTTTTTCATTTATAAAATGAAAATAATACTAGCTAAATTAGATAAAATGAACAAATTCATAGAAAGACAAGAACTACTAAAACTGATTCAAGAAGAAATAGAAAATTGGGTAGACTTATAACAAGTAAAAACTTTGAGTTAATAATTTAAAAACTACCTACAAGAAAAAAACTCAGGTCCAGATGGCTTCACTTGTAAATATAACTGCAAATTAAAAAGAGAATTAACATAAACTTTCACAAATGTTTACCAAAAAAAGAATAGGAAGGACTATTTCCCAAGTTTTTTAATGAGGCTAGTATTACCATGACAGTAAAACCAGTCAAATATTTTACAAGAAAACTGTAGACCAATATTCCTATGAATACAGGTGCAAAAATCCTCAACAAAATATTAGCAAGCTGAATTCAGAAACATATAAAAAAGATCACACACCATGACCAAGTGGAATTTATCCAAGGAATGAAAGGTTGATTTAACATCTACAAATCGACTAATGTAATACATTGTATGAATAGATTAAAGTACCCAAATCACATGGTCATTTCTATGAAGAAAAAGTATTTGACAAAATTCAACATTCTTTCATGATAAAAAACACTCAACAAACTAGCATTGGAAGGGAACTTCTTCAATCTCAAAAAGGAAATCTATAAAAAAAATCCACAGCTAATATCATACTCAGTGGCAAAAGACTGAATGTTCTCTTCTTAAGATCTAGAAGGAGAGAAAGTTGTCTGCTCTCACCATTCCTATTCAACAATGTCCTAGAGGTTCTAGCCAGGCTAATTAGGCAAGAAAGTTGAACAAAAGGCATCCAGATTGGAAAGACAGTAGTAAAACTATTTCTGCTTGCAGATAATGTGATATATATGGAAAATCCTCAAAATTACAGTAAAAATCTATTAGAACTAGAAACAAGTTCATCACACAGTATACAACATCAGTTCCGAAAATCAACTATACTTCTTCTAAACACTAGTAATGAACAAATCAGAAATGAAATTAAGAACACAATTTTGTTTATGAGCACATTAGAAAGCATAAAATAATTAGGAATAAATTTACCAAATGAACCACAAAACTTATACTCTGAAAATGAAGAAATATGGTTGAAAGAAATTAAGGAAGACCTAAAGAAATGGAAGGATATTCAATATTCATGAGTCAGAGGCTTACTATAGTTAAAATGGAAATATCTGAAATTGACCTACACATTCAATAAATCTCTGTTGAAATACAAGCTGGCCTCTTGGCATAAACTGACAAGCTGATTCTAAAATTTATAAGAAAATGCAAGAGATCAAGAAGAGCCAAAACAATTTTTAAAAAGTAGATCAAGTTGGCAGGTTCATAATTCTCAATTTCAAAATTTACCACAAAGCAACAATAACCAAAACATTGTAGTTCTGCCATTAGGATAGATATAGATCAATAAAATTTAATTGAAGATTCAACAGTTAATTCTCACATTCACAGTCAAATAACTTTTGACAAGTGTGCCAAGACCATTTAGTGGGGAAAGAATAGGTTTTTCAACAAACAATGATGGAAAAACTGAATATCCACATGCAAAAGGATGCAGTTGAATATCTACCTCACACCGCATACAAAAATTCACTCAAAATAGATCAAAACCTAGAAGCAAGAGCTGAAACTATAAAACTCTTAGAAGAAAACATAGGATTGTATCTTCCTGACCTTGGATTAAGAAATGATTTTCTAGATATGACAATAAAAACACAAACAAAATAAAAAAAGATAAATTGAAGTTCATCAACATTAAAAATTGTGTGCTTAAACAAGAAAGTGAAAGAATGGGAGAAAATACTTATAAATAATCTGATGACGGAATAGCATCTAAAAGATATAAAG